>NC_000003.12:117341937-117644967 GCF_000001405.40 Homo sapiens
ACATCATAGCGTGCAACATAGTAATCATCACAAATCACCAATTGTTTAAGAGTGGGCACTTTAATTGCTCATTAATTCCCTAATTAATTGACACAAGCCAATGTTAATGTTATTTAAAGATTAGTATCAGTCCTAGGGGTTTATTTGGGCTTGCCCTGGGGAATTAATTAGGCAGATAGCTCAAATTATGTTTTCTCTCCAACTTTCTCAGGCACCAGTTAGGCTGCTGACTGACACTTTGTTCTCTCATCCAGTGTACGTCGGGCAGGGGAAGAATCTAACTAACACACAGAGTACCCCACTTCAGAGCCACCATACTCTTCTCACACCACCAACAGTTCCTTGTCATCCACTTCATGAAGTCAAATCTCTACTCTGTGGATTTCAAGGCCTGATCTGTCTTGGTCTATGACTCTCAAATACATCCTTCTCTCTTGTGTCTGATCTGGGTCGTCTATTCCACACAGCTTAATTTACACAACTATGTAACCATCACTTTTCCACAGCCAGGATTTTTTTCTTTTCCTTTGTTTTGTTTTTGTGATGGAGTTTTCACTCTTGTTGCCTAGGCTGGAATGCAATAGCGCGATCTCACCTCACTACAACCTCTGCCTCCTAGGTTCAAGCGATTCTCCTGCGCTTTAGCCTCCCAAGTAGCTGGGATTATAGGTGCCCATCACCGCGCCCAGCTATTTTTTGTGTTTTTAGTAGAGACGTGTTTTCACCATGTTGGCCAGGCTGGTCTCAAACTCCTGACCTCAGGTGATCCACCCACCTTGGCCTCCCAAAGTGCTGGGATTACAGGTGTGAGCCACTGCGCCCGGCAGGTTTTTTTCAAGTAGTTCTCTATAGTCTTCCTTCTCCATTCGGCCTTTCTACATCCCTTTCACTCATTGTGAATTTCATTCTTATCCTTCTCTAAAGATACTTTGCTCTAGCCAGATCCCAATCCACATCAGCTGCCCCACTCTGGCCACTCCCAGGGCTTCAGCCTCATCTCCTGTCACTTCCTGCCACATTCTTTCCTTTCTTCCAGGTTCACAGAACTATTTGCAGTTCCCAAAATATACCTTGCGCTTTGATGTCTATGTGTTTTGCTTATACCCTTTTTGAAACTCAAAAGTAAAGTTTATTGATTTTCCAAAGTTAATTTAGGCATTTATTCTCTATTTTTCCTTAACTTTTGATGCCTTAATTTTAACCTTTATAGCATTTTATAATAAATACTAGTATCTAGCATCTCAGACTCCTAGAAAATTGCCTGATGCATAGACAGCATTCAGTAAATGTAGAGAGAATTAAATCAGACATAATCCCTATTAGATTTTGAGTTCCTAAGAGGAGGAGCTAAGTCTTATTCATTTTTGGATCTTTGGTATACAGCACAGTTCTTGGTCCAGAGCTGGTATAAGATGAGTGGATAATCAGGAAAAAGGAAGGGATTATTGGAAGGACGGAAGGAAAGTCTTTCATTTTTGGTACACTTCAATAAATATCTGTCATTTCTAAATTCTGTAGCTTTTAGAGATTCGGTCCATGCTTGTTTGCTTTCTGACTGAGTATGTTGACAACAAATTATTTAATAGGAAAATAGGCACATCTGCCAAAAGAATGGAAGGCTGGATATCTCAGGCATTGCTAAAGATTTCTAGGGTAGATGTAGTTGTTGAAAATAAAGACATAAATAAAGTTGTCCTATTTGTCACTGGCTCCTCACATTGTTTTTGTTTACAGTAGATTGACCGTAAAAATAAACTAACACCTTTCAGAGCTATGCACTACCTTATTTGCTAAAATTATCTCAGAGAATTGAGAAGATTTGTTTTGAATATATACATTCCCAAACTCTTCACATAACTACCAACATCTTCATTTCACATCATACAGTACCATGCAAAAAAAAGCAAATTCTTTTGATTCTTGATGTGAAGTGCTTTCAAATACATTTCCTCAATCTAAAAATTACTCTAGAATCAAAAACAAAGAAAACAACTGCTTAAAGAAAAGGAAGTGCTGCAAAAATGAGAAATATGTTTTATTATATCTTGATTACAATAATTAGCAGGATTCAAATAGTGGTTTTGCTTTTGTGTCTTCTTACGTTTGTGTAAGTCAACCCTCCCCACTTCTTTCTCTCTCTCTCCTTTCTCTCTTCTAATTCTATTTATTGCAAAAGTATAAAATATGAGGTGTACATAATGCATTAGTAGCCACATGATGAACTATTTGGAACTCTGATTTCATACTTTCTTGGCCTTTTAAACATCAGTGACTTTTTTTTCCTTTAAAAATAACTGAAAGACACAATCCCACACACAGTGGGTTTTGTTATGAAGAATAGATCTACCTCCAAGGTCTTAATATTATAGTTTTATCTCTTTTCTCACCTTCTCATCTCCCTCTCTTACTCTTTGCCATCTCTTGAATCCACTCTCTGCCCTACTTCTGAGCCAGACTCTATCAAACCCCGACAATCCTCAGAAACTCATCGGTTCTTCTCCAGCTTTGCTTTCCTATGAACACATTCTTGTGCCAAGCATGGATTGGTCTTTTCAATATTGTTTGCTGTGTAGCCAAAGTGCAGAGTAACAGTTTTTGCAAGTGTATTCTACAGGAAAAATAATGATCAAAATATTAATAGGTGTTTTCAGAGGAAAAATAAGTTCTGTATATGTTTTAGCTAAATAGTATTATTTTTGTCATATTCCCAAATTGGAAGTCCCAGTACATATTAGCCTATTACAATTCTAAGTTATTTGCAGTAAAGAATATAGATGAAGCTGGTCTCATTTCTATTTTCCAAGTTTTTGGGGGCCATAGTGATTTTTTTTTAACCTGACAACACCTCAGGAAATTTATGGTTTACAGAGCACAACATTGTAAATTATGGCAAAGTAAAAAAGAAAACACTGAATTTCAACTTGGAAAATCAGAATGCTGTTGCTAATAGTATTAGTAGCAAATATATTAAGTATGTCAAATATGTCAAATGCTGTTGTAAGTGATTTACATATATTAGTACATTTAATCTCACATAAAGCAAATTAAGTAATATCATTAGCTCCATTCTACAGATATAAAGACCGAGACTCAGGTAAATTAAGGTACTCACCCAAATTTACATAGCAGAACTGAAATTCAAACTTATGCAATTAGTCTCCAGTCTAAGATTTTAACTGCACTGTTATTCTGTCGCTGTTACCTACTAATTGGGTAACCTGTGGCAAGCTATTTTACCTCTCTAAGTCAAGCTGTTTATTGATCAGACAGATTAATGTTATCTGATGTGGCTGTCATAAGGAATCAGTATTTAACAGAGTCAAATGCAGTGCCTGAAATATGCAGTTGGTACTCATAATACTTATTTATTAAATGAGACTCAAGAACTCTAGATTTGGTTATCCTCCTAGCTGTGTACACACAGCTATTTGTTACCTATCGTTATTAGAGGAACAGGCATAAAGCTGTGCTGAGCTGCTTGACGGAAAATTCCCACTCTAGAACTTCAACTGGATCTTTAGAACTAATCATTAATCTTGGATTTACCCAGGTTGATTGCCCATTGCAACTCATACCACAGGCATTTCACGTACTGTATGCATTCCTCAAACCAGGGCAGGGGGATCAGGAAATGATTTAAACCCGTCAACTGAGGAGCCCCAGGAGGACCATGCACTGGCTGCCCTGACATTTTACCAAATGTGGCTGTCCTGTCATGATCTTTTCTTAAGAATCCCTACGTAATTCCAAAGCTAATATTAAAATATACGTAAATACCTCTATCTTCACTCTGTATCCCTTCACTTCTAGGCTCTGGCTCCATCAACCATTCCATCATCCTTTTGAGTTTCCCTGTTCCTTTCCTCTCTCTCTCCCTCCCTCTTTTTCCCTTTCACACACACAGAACACTCTGCTCCCAAACTACATCTGTGCTACAACTATGCTGCCCACCTATGCCAATGTACACAGCAAAGTACGAATTTGTCTTTACTCTATCAGATGATTCCTGCTTCTTCTATATTTTTTCCCCTTAAAACCAAACTTTTTCAAATAATCTACTTATCATATTTATTTCTCCACCAAACACTGTCTTCAACCTCTGCAACTCAGCTACATTCTCATGATCTCTAAAAACCATGTTTCTCAAAGACAACAGCATCTTCCAACTAGATGAATGCAATGGACTTTGCTCAGTCTTGATTCTCTTTGGCCCCTCAGAAACTTTGTTATGCCCATATCCTGCTGGAACCTCTCTTCTTAATCAGATTTCAGTCACTACAGTGATCGTCTTTCCATCATTTCAGCCATTTTGCATTTATCTCTCTCACTGGCTTTCCCTCTATTTTGTATTTTAAACATGGAGTGACCCCTGTGGCTCTGACCTCCACCTTCTGCTCTTTCCATATTACTCTTTCACTAGGACATTATGTACTCTATGGCTCTAACAACCATTTTATGCAAACGGTGTGAGAAGCTACTAAATTGTAACTGTGAGGAAAGGGATTATGTCATTCATCTTTCTAATTTCCAAGCTGTTTAGCATACCACCTTACATATAACAAGTGTGTGTGTGTACATATACATACACAGAAATAAAAGAACAAATTTTTATCAAAATATTACCTTCAGGCATGGAACATTTATTAACTGAAAATGCTGAAGCAAATGCCAGGAAATTTATGTTCTACTTAAGGACTGTTTGGTTGGTTCATGTTGTTCTCTTTGGGAAAATATTTGTGACAAAACTTTATAAGATTAAAAATAATTGTCCTTCATTTTGTTTCCTCTCCACATGCCCTTGCATCTTTCAACTTTTTAAAATAACTCCAGGTTGTTAATTCCATCTATGTAATTGTGGGTGCAATCTAAATGAAACTAAACTCTACCCAAAATGAGATAGTTAGGGTTATCAATGTTGGAGATGCAAAGAAGAGGAATACAAATCTGTGGTATCATAGAATGGAAAATAAGCTTTAAAAGTCATCCACATGAAAAACATGAGGTCCTCCACACCATGGAATAAAATATGTACACTTTTGCTATTATTGTGAGAGAACAGGAAGTAGCAGTAGTTACAAAAGGAAAGTGGGTCAGAGGAGGGGTCAATTTCATTTTCTTTCTCTCATGTTCCAAGCCTAGAGTATCTTACTTTGGAATATAGCGACATCTGGATTTGCTCCACTTCTATCCAATCAGTAACTAAGTGGCACTCATTGCAACACTCTCATTTAAAGGACCTGACTGTGCATTTCCCAACACATTCGTAAAGTAAAAAGAAATTCAAAAAGTTCCTCTTTTTTTTTGACAAGGTCTCACTTTGTTACCCAGGCTGGAGTGCAGTGGCGTGATTACAGCTCACTGCAGCCTCAACCTCCTGGGCTCAAGTGATTCTCCCACCTCAGCCCCTTGAGTAGCTGGAACTACAGGTGTGTGTTACCATGCCAGCTGCTTTAAAACATTTTTTTGTAGAGGCTGGGTCTCATTATGTTGCCCAGGCTGCTCTTGAACTCCTAGGCTCAAGTGATCCTCCCTCCTTGGCCTCCCAAAGTGCTGGGATTACAGATGTGAGCCACGGTGCCTGGCCACATTTCAAAAAATTTATATCAAGAAACAGTTTTAAAATTTAATAGAGTGCTCGGGCACAGCTACCATCATTTAGCACTTAAGCAACTATTAGTACTAGGGTGGGATGCACTAATATTTAGCACAGTAAAGAATTAAAACAAAAACCTAGAACTTCAGGCTGCATGTTAATAAGTAGACTATCTTTATGTAGAATTGCTTGAAAGTTCAGCAAGAAATTTCCTAATGTCCCAGAAAAAGTGCCTCATTCACACACTCATTGATTTGCCTCATTGTCACTTAGTTTCAGAGAAAAAATAGGCATCCACTAAATATTTAGTTTCTGTCTTTCCTCCCTTCCCCAGAACATGAGATAAGAGTGCTTCACAAGGAGGCCATTTTTGTACACCAGCATGGAATTCCTCATATTGACCCTATGGCTGATCATACGGCTTTATAAATGGGCTCATAACTTGTCATTGCCTTGCCTCATAATTATTTCTAGAACTTTGTAGAGTCAGTACCATTAGCCTCCCTTGAAGAAAAAGGAAAGTTTTAGGAAAGTTAAACAACTTGCCTAAAGTCACATGGCTGATTGATTTGCAAGGGATAATCATGTTTATACCAAATATTCCATTTTGGGCTTCTTCCCCAAATCCTGGAATTGTTCTAGGTTTCCAAAGTGGCAAGATCCAAGATACCCTGGGCAAGCCTGAATATATATGCAAACAGCCTCACACGTACTGTCACACTCAGTGCAGAAACTCTTATGGTAGTAATAGCAGACACCAATATAATGTATCAAAATGTTCACCTTAGAAAATATTTGTCAGTGTTTTTTCACTTATGCGCAAATGAATTAAACTTAGTAGCTATGATTTATAAGAAAAGAACAAGATTGCATGCCCATAAAGAAAAGGAAATATACAGGAGAGTGTCTTACAACTTACCAAGATACAGGTATAATCAATGTATTAGAAAAATTCAAATGATATACCCTTGTCTTCAATACACACTGGTAGGCACCTCCAACTGGTACCTGTTCTATCCTCTAAGCTCAGGGCAGTTGGAGAACTATCACTAATGGAAGTGTGGGTGCATGAGAAGTAAGTAAGACAACAGCTCCAGTAGAGTTTGAAGTTATCTGAGTTTTCTGATTAAACAAGTATTTGGTGAGGGCCTACTACATGCTATACATTATGCTAATTATTGGTGACAAATGCCAGTGAATAAAGGCCAAGGAACACAACCAATCAAAGACAGAAGCATATTAAAAATCAATATATAAATTTGATAGAGTTGTTATGAGAGTTGTGTATACAGAAATAAGAGGGAATGCACAGGGATGAGTGAGGGAAAGATACCACTTGGAGTTGGAAGACCTGGAAGTGTAATCCTAGAGGAAATGACTGGTGGAGAGAAAAGAAGAAGTAAATGAAATAAAGATAAGGGAAATTGTAGGAAGAGCAAAAGGAGTATTTGGCTAGGAGAAGAGGCAGGTGGTAGTGTTTGGCTAGTGAAGAGAAGGGAGAAAAGAAAGCAAGTGCTTACGTGTCAGAGGCCTTGAAGCTCCTTTGCAAATGATCACATGTCCCCATGTGTCAAATGTGTCACACTCAGATAGCATTGCCTGTCCTCAAAAGACCACTGATGCACTCTGAATAAATTCATGTAATTCCCAGAAATCTGTCTCTTTGTCAAGATATTTGGTCAAGCTGTGACTAAAAACATTAAGTAATGGAAAAAAGAAGAGTGGTTTAGCCAGCATTGCAAGGGAGTCTATTCAAAAGGTTTATTATCTTATGAGCAGAGAAGGGTAAAAAAAAAATGAAAAAAGACATCCAAACTTCTGCTAAATTTGCACTCTTAATCCTTTAAACTCCATTTCACTTATATCTATATGTGGTAGAAAAGAGGTACTGAGAGGACAGGGTGGCAAGACCTTTTATTTGAACATTTGCTAAATCCTCAATTATATTTCACTTCTAATCCTGTGTCATTATGAGCAAAATGGCACATTTGGAGACCATTTAGATATGAATGCCTGAAGCCTTCCTATCAGACCTGCTGACTCTTTCTTTCTTTCTCACTCTCTTTTAGTCACTACAGCCAATTATGTTGAGATATGATTTTTGGCCAGGCAATCTAGCTCTGGCATCAGGGGTCCCACAATAGCCTGGTTGGAGACCTTCATGGCCTCTAATATTATTATTTTTTGGGCAGGGTCATTGTGACAATCATAACTGGGAACAAATATCCTTATTCAGCAAAAAGAGAAAAACAAAACAGAGCAAAACAAAACAAATCCCTATGATCTAACATTTAGATAAGCCTACAAATGTAACACAAATCCAAAAAGAGGAAGCTTACGTAATTAAAAGTTAAAGTTAATTCTTGAAATTGGTGAGGATAATTAAAGAATGAAAGAGGCCAACTGTTTGAAATTACTGAGTCAGATCTAATCTTTCACTGGGCTCCATATACACATTGCATTATGTATAGTTTAATGTGCAAGTCAGTGATACCGTTCACAATTTTTACTGTGGCTCAGCTTACAATGTGCCATTTGGACCTAGGTTATCTTTCATCTGTATTTTTAAGTGGAACCTGTAACTAACAATGAGCCAAGTGTCCTACATTCCTTGTTCTAAGTTTGAGTTTCTCTTGGGCCTATGCTTCTTTCTTCAGCTTCAGGGATAGAATTCAGTGTAATGAGAAACGCTTTGTCTACTTTCAAAGTCTGAGAGTCCTTAGAAACTAACTTACGCTGGCAATTCACAGAGAGCTAATTTTCAATACATATATTTGTGCCCAATACCAGAAGTCACAATTAAATGGTATCTCTCCATATTCTGTCCCCATCCTCAACACACACAGACATTTGCAGCAGAGGTTGTTTAGTTGAATGACAGAAGCAGTCCATTTGTATCTATCTGTCTAGTGGTATAATTCATTTTCCGCTCATACTCTAACTAACCCCAACCTAACTTAAGAAAAAAAAAAAAGAAAGAAAGAAAAGAAAGCAGAGCCTAGATGCTGTTGGCTAGAATCCAGAATCCTCGGATTAGAAAAAAGGGTGAACCGGGGCACAGTACAGCCTAATAAGGCTGGCAGCCAACATTATGCAAAGCTCACTGGAAGGAAGCAAAGCCTCCTTGGCAAAACAGTGATAAAGAATTAGAATTTTCTGAAAATAGTAATAAGAACTCAATACAAAGACCTGACCAATTCTAGCACACATGGAAGGGGTCAAGAAGAAGGTGTTCCATACTAAGGATATGCAAAACCTAAATAATAGAAGGAACCAAGAATGGACCAGAGGGGCAATTAATCTCTTGCTCATTTCTGTTTACGAGTTTTAAGCACTGTGTATAACTAGCTGTATATATAAGCTATCTATGTGATAAACTGTGTGCACTTCTCATTACATGTATAGGTTGAGTCTTTCACAACTACTATATTTGGTGTTGTCACGAAGTCCTCCAATAAAGTATATTTTCAGTTGGGTGCAGTGGCTCATGCCTGTAATCCTAGCACTTTGGGAGGCTGAGGCAGGCGGATCACCAGAGGTCAGGAGTTCGAGACCAGCCTGAGCAACATGGAGAAACCCTGTCTCTACTAAAAATATGAAATTAGCCAAGCATCGTGGTGCATGCCTACTCAGGAAGGCTGAGGCAGGAGAATTGCTTGAACCCGGGAGGCAGAGGTTGCAGTGAGCCAAGATCGCGCCATTGCACTCCAGCCTCGGCAACAAGAACAAAACTCTGTCTCAGCAAAAAAAAAAAAAAAAAAAAAAAGTATACTTTCAGGTGCTGTTATGGGCAGATACTTAGGCTGGGTGGAACTTTGTCAATAGCAGTAAAGATTCTAGTGCCCAGAGCAGCAAAACCAGGGCTGTAATGCCTTCTACACAACAGATAAAGCCCTAACAATTCCTGGCTGGGTTGGTGTGTATGTGCTTCTACAAATATATGTTAAATTGCCAGTAGAAAGGAAAGGTGTAAAGTTGAAAAGAATGTCATATAATATTTTCTGTGAACTTCACTAAGAAAATTGGCTTTATTGCCAAGAAAACACACCTTATTATTGATCGATTAGAAAACACCTCTTCAAAATCTAAAGCTGATATTACCCTTAGGTGGATAAAAAGTTTAGGACAACATTATTATTTTAAAAAAATTGTTGTCTAGTATGAAAATAGTTATGCCCAAGAAAATTAGATGGAAATATAAAGCTGTAAGACCAAGTGCTAAATTACGGGCTCACAATCTATCTAAAAATATTTATTGATTCCTTATTCTATGCAAGGGACAGGGCAATCCTCATGTAACACAGGCTTTATACTCTAAGAAAGCTGGCAATATTAGTGAGGAGATATGAGACACATCCAAACATAAATGAATTGAAGAAGGAAAGAGATTGGGAGGAGGAAAAAAGGTAAATTTAGTGTGGTGCCAGTGAGAGCCATCGAAGGCTTTTGAGCAAGATAAGGATATAATGAAATGCCTTTAGTTAGATTAATATGGAAAGCCACTTAAGAGAGAATCACTACTCTAGTCAAGGGAGGGTTGGTTGTATAGGGACTTTTTTTTTTTTCTATCAACCAGGTAGCCACATTTGAAGTCTGCATACTTAAAGTGGAGCCTCAGCCCAGGGCTGTTCTCACACTTTTAAGCCAAAGCCAATGCTCTTCCTCCTCTTTCTACTTCAGTCTTCCTGTGTTCTCCATCTTAATGTTTTTCCCTTCCTGGTTGACTTCAAAACACAACAATAAAGGACTGTTTGTGTTAAACTTGAGGAAAGGAATGGCATTCCATAAGTGTCATGGCAGCCCATAAAATACAGATTCTCTACCTTGGATTAAGATCTGTGGAATCCTTAGAGGTAGAGACGGTGGCTCTATCTTCTTGTTGTTCTTTAATCTTCAGATTCCAGAACAGAGTTCGGAACATGGTAGGGCTAGAATATATTTGTGACAGTCAACTAGATTCATCATATATTTGGAAAACCAAAAAGAAATATGTTGGCATGGAATAATTGGTAACTGATGGGCCCATGCTGACCTCACCTGTTTTTATAAAAACTTATTTCATTTTTATCAGAAAATTTTACAATTTTTGAACTAAGAAGAGCCTCAGAAACTTTCAGGTTATTTGTTAAATTTAATTCTCAAAATCTACCTGTAGAAGAAATAGTATCTTTATTTTCCATATGGAGAAACTGAGACTACGGAAGGTTATGCAACTCCCTTAAGGCAAGCTAGTAAATGATAGAACTAGGCTGGAACTCAGCAATCCTTTTGGTAAGTTTTTTTTTATTATTATATGTCATGATATTTTTATATGATGTGTGGGACATTATATAATTAAGGCTGTTTGAGACTTTCTATAATTTGGGAGACTCTGAAATAATGTAAAAGATACAAAATTGTCTTAGCTGGATATGTAAGCATTTTTTAAATAATGTGATATGGGTCTGGTTCTAGGGTTATAGTTTATATCAGCAAAAGTATAGATAAAATTTCCATGAAACCTCTATCCGTCCATCTTGGTAATGCCTTCTAGGAAATTTTTAGGTTATCTATGGAAATATCCTATGTCCACAAGTTCTTTCTTTTTTAATATGCTTTGCCAATTTTCTATACATCCTCCTTCATGATTGCATCTCCTTTGAAAAATTACTCCTATTAAACTAAATTTCTCTGTCACTGCAAGAGACATAAAATTAAAAACTATCTGTCTTTAATCATGCCAGGCTTCTTCCTTGTCTCCTGGGCTCCATTAATCAATAATTAATATATAAAGAAGACTGAAATCCATTTCAATTTCAAAGGCCCAAACGTTTCGCTGATTAATAAAAAATTGTGCTCACAAAGATGGACGGATATGCCATGGTGAAATGATGGAGGACACAGCATTACCAGGGAATAGATTTGCAGGACCACATGTGCTGTGTGGCCTACCTGTACAAGAAATAAGCCATGTGGAGGAACAATTCTGCAGAATACCTCCCACCAAGCCTGACATCTCTGCATGTAAGAATTCTTATCCACAATTATCATCTTAGTCTATTTGATTTACCATTCTACCCAGAGTCTTATAAGTGGAATAAAAGGGTTAACTCATACTCTAAGAATCTACTCCCTGGGCTTACAAATATATCTAGTTTACTGAACAATTAATATTCTTGTTATTATATACACAGAACTGTAGATACTATACATTATGGGTTGGTGAAAACCATAGATATGAGGCTTGAGAGAATAATATCTGGTTTCTACTAACTTTCTGATCTACCCAGTTTATGCCGTTGCCAGCTCTCTTAACATTCTGGTGCCGTTTGCTGTCAGCATTGGCTTCTCTATTTAAGGAGTTTTAGCACTAATTGCTGGGAATTCAGTCACTCTTCAAGCATCCCAGTTCTACACAAGTGGGACCTTTCCATCTGTGCAAGGCCTAAGGTCTATCCTTGCACAGAACCATTAATACAGAAGGCTCACTCTCCTATTCTTACGTCCTACAATACCTACTGCAGTTTATTCCCAAGAACTGACTAGAGTTCTAGTCTCTCTGTTTTGAGAGATTCACTTTTGGTCTCTCCGTGATGTGTAGCAATGAGAAGAATTCTTTTAGCCAGTATCTTTGATAGTATAAAGCAGTTTCAAGTAAAGAAATCTACCAGGGAACTAAAGAGCATACAGGTAAAAATGGATAGATATAGAACTCCTTCTTCAGAAAAGTCCTAAAAGTGAGTGAACTCTTAACACTCCTCATACAAATTCTTAGAGGAAGAGTGTTTCACCTACCTCACTGGTTTTACCTCATAAGGCCTTTCTCTCATCTGGCTGCCATTGTTGAGTTTAATTCCACATGGAGTGCTCAAAATCCCAGTGTACTCGTGCATAGATTTTTCTTCCTATTTAATTAATCCGAGGTTCTTTCCTTTATTGTTTCTACCATAGCTAGAATTCAAATCTATTGCCTACCTTGTATATAAGTAGAGAATTGAGGAAACAAGATATTTCAGGTCAGGATTATGGAATGAGACATACATATTCACATAGGTATTTTATGCTTTTTTTGACCTAGCCTCAAACACAAAATATCGAAGATTTAGGGAACTACAAGAGCCTTCAAGGAGAAAATGATAGCACATTCCTATTGAGGCTCAACAGGATGAATAATAATCATATCTAACATTTAATACAAACTTTCTTGGTACAAGCGTTTTCATAGGCATTTAATATACATTATCTCATGAAATCTATGACAGATCTATGAGCCAGTACTATTACTTTCCACTTTTTATGAATGAGGAAATCAAGTATTAGAGGAATTAAAACATTTTCCCATGGATCACTTGCTCATAAGTGGTACATCTGGGACTTGAACTCAGGCAGTAGGGCTCCAGCACACATATCCTTTACCAGTGCTCTCAACATCAAGTGAACCCTTTATAAGGGTAGAGCTACACAGAGCCACAGGCTCCAGATACCACCTTTGCCTCTACCATCCAAAGTGCTTCTCCTGTGCATACATAGATTACATTCTCCCAAATTAAAATCAACAAGACAGACACTGATGGAATCCAAAGTAAAAATTGCAGAATCTATGGGACATTTTGGTCATTGATGTAGAGAGTAAATAAAAATGTTTGAAACCAAGACAGATCTTCATACTTATATCATGTGAGGTAAAATGTAACTATTGGCTGATCTGAGGCTTCATTCTACTGACTACATGTCCTCTTGATTGATATAATGGCACTAATTTTAGAAATGAAAAAGGGTCACATAGATGCAGAGTATTCAAATATAACTGTTCAAGTAAATTTTAAAGGCTGAGCATATGTGACAGGCCTGTGTTATTCTTTTTGCCATCTCTTCCCTCTTGCCTGCACTGTGAAGCTTCAAAAACACTGCCAATGCAACGGCAACCCTGCTGCCGAGGCCCAAGACAAACAACGGCAAAGATGGTAGATGAGCCAGTGATTACAAGTCAATAACAATTTTGCAATTATACATTCTATAACCAAATTAGAAACAATGTCATTAAGCCTCAATGGCAAAAAAATTAATTAATTTAATATAAAAAAATCTTCCTTGTTTGTCCAAAGTAAATACCCTGGGAAATAGCACTATGTCATTTGGTAATTACTACAGAACAATATAGGAATAGATCATGACTGGTGTCTAGAAAAACAGCAATCACATTTTGCCTTCTAATTATGGCAGCACTCTCAAGAAACACAGGGAGCAGTGCACCCTGCTGTTACACCACAGCAATAACACTCATTACCCCAGTAAATACTATGGAAATGTGCAGTAACACACAGGGGCCTCCCTGCTGTGAGGCTGTGGCAGAATCACTCATCAGGCTGGGAAGTATCACTCGATCGTCTTTAATTACTTCCAAAATATATGATAACCTGCCCACAGTTAGAATGCGGTGATATCACTCGTTACTTCTCCCTCCCTGCTCCCCTTTTTTTTTTTTTTTTTTGTAACTTACTAAGAAACCCTGCAGTAGCCTTACTATAGTGGTGATGTATTGTAACTTATACCAATTTAATCACATAGATTTGTGTGCTTTTGGCCAACATATGCTCCCAATGTGAAATGAGCACAAGAAAAATATGCTCAAATACTGTTATCTTTCTAGCAAGATCCCTTTTCTCACGTTATTGAGTTGTGGCAACACTGTTGTAATCCTTTCTTTTTATTCTGGAAATTAGAGTGATAATTACACCGTAGTCCCCTGGAATCCAGAGTACTTGTAATTATATCCAGTTACCTAGGAAAACAGCAATTTCAAACCTATTACCCACAGGTATCATTTATGTTTATTGCCCTATTTGTGAAGCCGCTTTTACTCTGAATTCCAAGTGGCAGGATGTTTCACTGAGGTACTTGTGCTCCGGAGGAAGGGAGAAAGGACAGAGGGAGGGGACAATAGGAAGAGGCCTCTACTCCTTTTCAGGAGGCTTAGGTCTGATCTCTATTAGAAAGGGTTTGTTCAGGCCCTTTTCAAATGGATAAGGCAGATTATGGGACTATGTTTTCCTCACACAGTTTGGAGACAGGGCTCAAAGTTTCAGGGTTTTGTGTTTGACACCTCCCATTGTGCTCACTTGTCTCAATGTGCCACAAATGCCTGCAGTAAGGCTAAACTAATTCTTGATTATGACTCACCCTGGCAGGTGAATTAATAGCTTTTAGGACAGCAGTTTCAAAAATAATTAAACCTAGGTGTTGCTATTTTCATAAGAAAGAAGAAAATAACTGTTATGCCACAGCATTCATCACTTTGATTTGGACAATTTATTCTAAACATCAGTACTTACTTAAGAGAGGTTTTGCATGTAGTTATTCAGTAAGCCATTCGTATTCCAAAAGAGGGAGTGATGGATGTAGGTTTCCTTCTCTTGCTAATTTTTGGAGTGATTTGTAAGATTATAATTTTATAAGGAAGACCTAATCTTAGACTTACAAATAATAATATTGTGTACTGAATATTTAAGTCAAGTACTAGTTAGCTGTAACAATAACTCAACACAAGAACGTTATTGACCCCATGTATAGATAAAGAAATTAAGCCTCTGAGAGGTTAAGTAATGTGCTCATGATTATTCAGTTAGAAAACAGTACAGCCAGGATTTGATCTCAGTTCATTCAAGCCTCCGATCTTGTCCTTTTGCTATACTATCACACTACTCCATCAGGTGCTGCATCTATTTCTATTGGCTTCAAGTTCTGTAATGCTTCTTGACATATAAAAAGAAAACTTGCTCAGAATGTTTAAATTATGAAAAAACTTCCCCACAAAATGTATTTCCCTTATGAGGGAGAAAGACTCAGGTACTTTTAAGCTGAAAGTATTAGTAGTTGTCTGTCTTTTCCTTTACCCTGTGTTAACAGCCACTTGAAGACATACGAAGCCTTCATTTTCACCCCAAATTGGGCTTTGGGTCTTATTCACCATTTATCACAAACTATTCTGAAGAATGAAACAGCATTGGAGAAAATGAAAACTTGGGACTTCTAAAGTTTAACTTGGGAGTCTATTACTGAATTCAAGTATTAAACCGGGCAAAGTCTTCTTGCCCGAACGATTAATTAATTAAAGTCAAGCATTCATTCATTTTTGTAAAATAACATTTTATATGTATTTTTATTTTTACTGTTTATTTTCACATACCTTTTTAATAGAGGTTTGGTAATAGCTCCTTTTTTTGCACTGATAGAGAAATAAGTTCAACTTCAGTATGATCCACTTAGTTTCTCAAAACATGATATTAGAAGCATAAATCCAATGTATTTTAATAAGAAAAAAACAACATAAATGTGAACATATTACACACATTTGTCTGAAATCTATTGAGGTACAGTAAAAAGTGTAATTCCAGAGTTAAACACACAGAGTTGTTTTAAATTACTTTCATTTAAAACACTTACTGCATGCACAACATGATTTAACTACAGATAATAGTACTAAAATGATTTCTCTAAGGTATCTTCAGAGATAGAGATTGTGTAAAGATCACAAATCTAGGAAAGTGTCTCTACTTTACCAAAACAGCATTGGTCATGATATCAGGTCATCCACTGGCAATTGTGACATGGGCATTTTGAAAGCAGAGCTTGGCATTCAGCAGTTACCAGCTTGCTAGTCAGAGGGCATGTCATACAGTCTAAGAGAGCTGCATTCATTTCTGGTCAGGCCACAGATGCAGGTTACCAAGCAAATGTTTCATTGTCCCCTAGGGTAAGCAAACTGAACCTCCCAGGAAGATACGTCTCTATTATTCTGAGAAGGCTATTATTGAAATTAGTTAAGAAAACCACTTATCTCCCTATTATTTAAAAATCTGTCAATGTAAAGATGGATGGCATTACTCAGAATCAGAAAATTTGAATTCCAACACTTGATTATGAAACTTGGTAGCTGTGGGGGGCGGGGCAAAGATGGCTGACTAGAAGCAGCTGCATTCAGAGGCGCCAATGGGAAAAAAACATAAAAAGCCTGTGAATCCTCACAGGCAACCAAGGTATCCAGGTTCTCTCATCAAAATTGTCTAGAAGGTTGATGTGACCCACGAAGAGAAGGAAGAGCGGTGTTGTGCCGCAGCCCACCTGAGAGCAGGCAAGGGGAGCTGCCTCCCCCCAGCCAAGGGAGGCGGTGAGTGAGCACACTACCAGGGAAACTGTGCTTTTTCCTTGGAACTGGGCAACCCATGGATCGGAAGATCCCACTTGCAAACCCACGCCACCGGGTCCTAGAATCCCGAACCCTGAATGCAGATTCTTACAGCCTCTCAGCTGGAGTCTGCTTAAGCCTATCCAACTTCCCCGCAGGGAGGGGTGACCAGCATGGGCTGCCTGACACTGCCCTGTGTCTAAGCTGTTTGAGCTCCTTGGGGGAGGGGCAGCATCCAGCACTGGGACTCACAACTACCTAACACCACCCACGTTAAGCTCCCTGGGTGGGGGAAGAGCGGCACCCATTTCTATAGCTCCAGGTTGCGCTTTTCCCCTGCTGGAGCCAGAGGGGCTGGATGGCTTGGTCTCAAGAGTTGTCTCCACAGCCCAACACACTGGCTGCGGCAGTCTGTGGCCAGAGTGCCTCTTCAGGCCCAACCCCGACCCATCCTTCTTCAGTGGGCAGGGCTTCCCTGTAGGATCTCCAATAACTCCAGCCAGGGGCTCATGGACAGAATTTGGATCTGCCAGGGCTGAGCCCCTAGTGGGAGGGGTGGCCACAGAATTTGTGGACCAGCAGACTTAGCCTGTCCTCCTGGTAGTTCTGAGGAATCTGGGCAGCCCAGATGAGTGAAGTTCTCCCCAGCAAAGAGACAAAGTGCTTCATTAAATGGGTCCTTCTCCCCGGGCCACCCAACTGGGTGAGACCGTCCAACAGAGGTTGTCAGACACCCCATGCAGAAGCAATCCTACTGACATCAGGCTGCTGCCCTACAAGATCAGAGGTCCCAGAAGAAGGAGCAGGCACCCATACTTTGCTGCTTTCCATCCTCCTTGAATGACATCTCCAGGGCGCGAATCAGATGGATAGGGCCTGAAGCGAATCCACAGCAAACTGCAGCAGCCCCACAGAAGAGGGACCGTACTATTGAAAGAAAAACGAACAAGCAGAAATTGACAGTAACAGCATCAACAACAACAACAACAAGAACAAAAAGGCCTCCACAAAAAACCCATCCAAGGGTCAGCAGCCTCAAAGACCGAAACTAGACAAACTCACAAAGATGAGAAAGAATCAACAACAAAAAAATGCTGAAAACCCAAAAGGCCAGAGTGCCTCTTCTTCTCCAAGTGATAGCAACATCTCTTCATCAAGGGTGCAGAACTGGATGGAGGATCAGATGGATGAATTGACAGAAGTAGGCTTCAGAAGATGGGTAATAAAAAACTCTGCTGAGCTAAAGGAGCATGTTCTAACCCAATGCAAAGAAGATAAGAACCTTGATAAAAGTTTAGAGGAATTACTAACTAGAATGACCAATTCAGAGAGGAACACACGTGACCTAATGGAGCTGAAAAATACAGCACAAGAACTTTGTGAAGTATACACAAGTATCAACAGCCAAATCGAGTAAGCAGAAGAAAGGATATTAGAGTTTGAAGACCACCTTACTGAAATAAGATATGCAGAAAAGCATAGAGAAAAAAAAAATAATGAAAAGGAATGAACAAAGCCTCCATGAAATATGGGACTTCATAAAAAGACCGAACCTATGATTAATTGGAGTACCAGAAGGAGATGGGGAGAATGGAAACAAGCTGGAAAACACACTTCAGGATATTATCCAGGAGAACTTCCCCAACCTAGTAAGACAGGCCAACATGCAAATTCAAGAAATGCAGAGAACACTATTAAGATACGCCACAAGAAGATCAACTCCTAAACACATAATAATCAGATTCTGCAAGGTCAAAATGAAAGAAAAACTATTAAGGGCAGCCAGTGAGAAAGGCCAGGTCACCTGAAAAGGGAAGCCCATCAGACTAACAGCAGACCTCTCAGCAGGAACTCTATAAGCCAGAAGAGACTGGGGGCCAATATTCAACATTCTTAAAGAAAAGAATCTTTGACCCAGAATTTCATATCCAGCCAAACTAAGCTTCATAAGTAAAGGAGAAATAAAATTCTTTCCAGACAAGCAAATGCTGAGGGATTTTATTACCACTAGGCCTGCCCTGCAAGAGCTCCTCAAAGAAGAACTAAATATAAAAAGGAAAAACCAGTACTAGCCACTGCAAAAACACACCAAAATATAAAGACCAATGACACTATGAAGAAAGTGCATCAACTACTGTGCAAAATAACCAAATAGCATCATGATGACAGGATCAGATTTACACATAACAATACTAACCTTAAATGTAAATGCACCAAACACCCCTGTTAAAAGACACAGACTGGCAAATTGGATAAGGAGTCAAGACCTATCAGTGTGCTGTATTCAGGAGACCCATCTTACGTGCAAAGACACACACAGGCTCAAAATAAAGAAATGGAGGAAAATTTACCAAGAGAATGGAAAGCCAAAAAGGCAGGGGCTGCAATCCAGTCTCAGACAAAACAGACTTTAAACCAACAAGTATCAAAAAAGACAAAGAAGGGTATTACATAATGGTAAAGGGAACAATTCAACAAGAAGAGCTAACTATTCTAAATATATATGCACCTGATACAGGAGCACCGAGATTCATAAAACAAGTTCTCAGAGACCTACAAAGAGACTTAGTCTCCTACACAATAATAGTGGGAGACTTTAACACTTCGTTGTTAGTATTAGACATATCAACGAGACAGAAAATTAACAACAATATTCAGGTCTTGAACTCAGCTCTGGATCAAGTGGACTTAGTAGACATCTACAGAACTCTCTACCCCAGATCAACAGAATATACATTATTCTCCGTCCCACATGGCACTTATTCTAAAATCAACCACATAATTGGAAGTAAAACACTCCCCAGCAAATGCAAAAGAACTGAAATCATAACAAACAGTCTCTCAGACCACACTGCAATCAAATTAGAACTCAGGATAAAGAAGCTCACTCAAAACCACACAATTTCATGGAAATTGAACAACCTATTCCTGAATGACTCCTGGGTAAATAATGAAGTTAAAACAGAAATCAAGAAGTTCTTTGAAACAAATGAGAACAAAGAGACAATGTGCCAGAATTTCTGGGACATAGCTAAAGCAGTGTTTAGAGGGAAATTTGTAGCACTAAATGCCCACATCAGAAAGCTTGAAAGATCTCAAATCAACATCCTAATATCACAATTAAAAGAGCAAGAGAGGCAAGAACAAACTAATCCAAAAGACAGCAGAAGACAAGAAATAACTAAGATCAGAGAAGAAATGAAGGAGATAGAGATACGAAAAACCCTCCAAAAAATCAATGAATCCAGAAGCTGGCTTTTTGAAAAAAATAACAAAATAGATCGCTAGCTAGATGAATAAAGAAGATGATGAAAAGAATCAGATAGACACAATAAAAAATGATAAAGGGGATGTCACCAATGACCCCACAGAAATACAAACTACCATTAGAGAATACTATAAACAGCTCTACACATATAAACGGTAAAATCTAGAAGAAATGGATAAATTCCTGGATGCATACACCCTACCAAGACTAAACCAGGAAGAAGTCGAATCCTTGAATAGACCAATAATAAGCTCTGAAATTGAGGCAGTAATTAATAGCCTACCAACCAAAAAAAGCCCAGGACCAGACAAATTCACAGCTGAATTCTACCAGAAATACAATGAGGAGCTGGTACCATTCCTTCTGAAACTATTCCAAACAATTGAAAAGGAAGGACTCCTCCCTAACTCAAATAAAAAAAAAAAAGAGAGAGAAAACTTTAGGCCAATATCCCTGATGAACATCGATGCAAAAATCCTGAATAAAATACTGGCAAAGCGAATCCAGCAGCACCTCAACAAAGTTACCCATCACGATCAAGTCAGCTTCATCCCTGGGATGCAAGTTTGGTTCAACATATGCAAATCAATAAGCATAATCCATCACATAAACAGAGTCAAAGACAAAAACCACGTCATTATATCAATAGATGCAGAAAAGGCCTTTGAATAAATTCAACATCCCTTCACATTTAAAAACTCTCAATAAACTAGGTATTGATGGAACATATCTCAAAATAACAAGAGCTATTTATTACAAACCCACAGCCAATATCATTTTGAATGGTCAAAAGCTGGAAGCATTCCCTCTGAAAACCAGTACGAGACAAGGATGCCCTCTCTCATCATTCCTATTCAACATAGTATTGGAAGTTCTGGCCAGGGCAATCAGACAAGAGAAAGAAATAATGGGTATTCAAATAGAAAGAGAGGAAGTCAAGTTGTCTCTGTTTGCAGATGATATGATTTTATATTTAGATAACCCCATCATCTCATCCCAGAAACTTCTTGAATTGATAAGCAGCTTCAGCAAAGTCTCAGGATACAAAATCAATATGCAAAAAATCACGAGCATGCATTTACACCAACAACAGAGAGCCAAATCATGATTGAACTCCCATTCACAATTGCTACAAAGAGAATAAAATACCTAGGAATACAGCTAGCGAGCAATGTGAAGGACCTCTTCAAGAAGGACTATGAAACACTGCTCAAGGAAATAATAGAGGACACAAACAAATGGAAAAACATTCCATCCTCATGGATAGCAAGAATCAATATCATGAAAATGGCCATACTGCCCAAAGTAATTTATAGATTCAATGCTATTCCCATCAAACTACCATTGACATTCTTCACAGAATTAGAAAAAAAAACTACTTTAAATTGCATATGGAATCAAAGAAGACCCCATGTAGCCAAGACAATCCTAAGCAAAAAGAACAAAGCTGGAGGCATCATGTTACCTGACCTCAAACTATACTACAAGGCTACAGTAACCAAAACAGCATGGTACTGGTACCAAAACAGACATATAGACCAATAGAGCAGAACAGAGACCTCAGAAATAACACCACACATTTACATCCATCTGATCTTCAACAAACCTGACAAAAACAAGCAATGGGGAAAGGATCTCCTATTCAGTAAATGGTACCAAGAAAACTGGCTAGCCGTATGCAGAAAACTGAAACTGGAACACTTCCTTACACCTTATACAAAAATTAACTCAAGATGGATTAAAGACTTAATTGTAAAACCCAAAGCCATAAAAACCCTAGAAGAAAACCTAGGCAATACCATTCAGGACATAGGCAAAGGCAAAGACTTTATGACCAAAACACCAAAAGCAATTGCAACAAAAGCCAAAATTGACAAATGGGATCTAATTAAGCTAAAGAGCTTCTGCACAGCAAAGGAAACTAGCATCAGAGTGAACAGACAACTTACAGAATGGGAGAAAATTTTTGCAATCTACCCATCTGACAAAGGTCTACTATCCAGAATTTACAAAAAAACTTAAACATATTTACAAGAAAAAAAAAAAACAACCACATCAAAAAGTGAACAAAGGATAGAACAGACACTTTTCAAAAGAAGACACTTTTCAAAAGAAGACATTTACGCAGCCAACAAACATATGAAGAAAAGCTCAATGTCACTGATCATCAGAGAAATGCAAATCAAAACCACAGTGAGATACCTTCTCACACCAGTCAGAATGGTGATTATTAAAAAGTCAGGAAACAACAGATGTTGGCAAGGCTGTGGAGAAATAGGAACACTTTTACACTGTTGGTGGGAATGTAAATTAGTTCAACCATTGTGGAAGACAGTATGACAATTCCTCAAGGATCTAGAACCAGAAATACCATTTAACCCAGCAATCTCATTACTGGGTATATACCCAAAGGGTTATAAATCATTCTACTATAAAGACACATGCACACTTATGTTTATTGAAGCACTACTTACAATAGCTAAGATATGGAACCAACCCAAATGCCCATCAATGATAGGCTGGATAAAGAAAATGTGGTACATATACACGAAGGAATACTATGCAGCCATAAAAAAGAATTAGATCGTGTCTTTTTCAGGGACATGGATGAAGATGGAAGCCATCATCCTCAGCAAACTAATACAGGAACAGAAAACCAAACACCACATGTTCTCACTCATAAGTGAGAGTTGGACATTGAGAACACATGGACACAGAGCAGGAACAACACATACTAGGGCCTAATGGAGGTTGGAGGGTGAAGGGAGGGAACTTAGAGGATGAGTCAATAGGTGCAGCAAACCACCATGGCACACGTATACCTATGTAACAAACCTGTGCATTCTGCACGTTTCCTGTTTTGTTTTGTTTTGTTTTTCTTTAGAAGAAATAAAGAAAAAAAAAACTTGGTAGCTGTATCTCCTTGACACATGTCTAGGCATTGCTGCTTCATCCTTAAGGTGATAATAATACCCTGAACACCTAAAATCGTAAGGCTAAAGTAGATAAAGGATTGAGGTTTAGCAGTTTCATGTTTCAAACTTTTCCTGGAAAAAGTACACATTTATCTGACACTAATGAAATATGATTTTGGTTCTTCCCTACGCTACACCCCATGAATTATATATATCAAACCACTTCTGTAAGTTTAATTAATGAATTGCATTATTAATTTATTTTTTTGGTTTGAATGCTTGGTCCTCTCAAAGAAAAGCTGATTTGAACCCATTGTACTTTGACTCTTAAGTGTCAAAAATAATATTCGTTTGAGTGTTTTCATTTTGACTGTGAGATGAGAGCCAATATAAGTATCTCTTTCCTCCACCTCAGTCCCACCAATCTTCATTTTTTAAGTGAGGTGCTGCTATAGTAAGTTTAGAACCTCACCAATATTTGCTAATAATTTTAAGATCTTCAGGGCATTTTAAATACTAATAGTTTGGGGCTAGATGTTTAGTATTTATGTCCACAGGGTACAAAGTCTTTTTTAGCTCATTAAATTTTGCTTTAATTAATCCTGCCACGGCTTTATAAAGAAGGTGCACTCTGCTTCAGGTTAAAGCATGCTGCCTAGGATTTATACGCCCTTTCCTTAGGCCATGGCATTTGTACCTATTATCCATTTCAGGCCCCATTTTAACATAGCTAGAAAAATGAAGGGAGAAAGGAAAAGTTTAGTTGCTTAGTTACATTTTATCAAAATAATACTTTATTTAGTTAGTTAGTTAGTTTGTTTTTTTGAAACAGAGTTTCACTCTTGTTGCCCAGGGTGGAGTGCAATGGCGCGATTTTGGCTCACCGCAGCCTCCGCCTCCCGGGTTCAAGCAATTCTCCTGCCTCAGCCTCCCGAGTAGCTGGGATTACAGGCATGTGCCACCATGCCCTGCTAATTTTGTATCGTTTTTAGTAGAGACAGAGTTTCTCCATGTTGGTCAGGCTGGTCTCAAACTTCTGACCTCAGGTGATCTGCCTACCTCGGCCTCCCAAAGTGCTGGGATTACAGGTGTGAGCCACCGCGCCCAGCCTAAAAATAATACTTTAAAACACCATCACTTCCAGCAATATCCTCACTACCACCAAGTCAAATAAAGAGACAAAAATTTGTATCCAATCAAAATTGACTCTCCAAATAATAGGCAGTTGATTCAATCTCTAATAGTCTATATTAAGGAACAATAATAACAATTAACTTTTTAATAGATTTCACCATCTCAAAGGCTCACAGCAAGTCTCAAACATTATCTCAATTCTTATATTGATCCTATGAAATAGGTAACGTACACTATGCCCATTTTAAAGATGAAAAAAAATTGTGGTTCAGAGGAATTAAGTGACTTGCCTATGGTTTATACAAAGACTAAATAAAGAGATACAATATAAATCTAAATATCCCAATTTCAACTTTAAATGTCTACTACCTAAACCGCCCCCCACCCCACAGAAATGGCTGGAAGTAGATTAATGGAAGTTACTTGACCTTCATTTGATTAAAAAGAACATAAAATACTTTGATAGAAAGGCCTAACACTATTCCCAAACCCAATGTTCCATGGTCTTCTAAAAGAACTTTCTCAAGTCACTAGCAGGGAATCAATACTTATTTTCTAAGGTCTCCAGGCATTCCCAAGACTAGGTTCTTACATGCTTTCCTGATTGTTGAAAGGCTATGCTGTCTTTTGCCTCTTCTGCAGTACTTTCTTACATAACATCCTCTACTTTACTACATGTATGGTCAGGTTTTGATGCTTGTTCTCCTACAGTGAGTGCATGGAGATCTTGAGTAATGCAGTCTATACCACAGGTGGAAAACTACATGTATAGTACAATGATTTACTTTGTCACTACTCAATGTAATAGTGTGGTTTTTAATGGACATCTCTATTTTCACTTTCTGTGAAACTAAATGTATTTTTGTCAGATTTCTCAAACCAAACTCAAGGAAGTAAGCTTTTCCTGTCTGTCTTCCATCTCTCCTTATCAGCTATAATCAAACATCCACTATATACAACTCTGGCTTGTTTATTGATCTTATTCAAGTCATTACAATCTCTTGTAAAGAGCATCTTTCATGTGCAAGGGCAGATGACCAAGAGAGACATGCACTAGACATGTTAAGAGTACCCAGAAAGAGAAGATGGGGTGAAAGACTGTTTGTAGAATAAAAGTGTGCATACAGAGATAAAAACTAGAGATAGTCATCATAGTTAAAGGAAAGAAAAAAAATCTATGACTGTAGCAAATGATATTTGTGTAAGAAAACAATTATAAAGAAATGTGCATCACTAAAGGAATTTAATACTTTGAAATGAAACTGTTGTCTAGGAAATAAAGCTAGGTTTTAACAGTAACAAATGGCAAATAGTATAAAATAGAATGAGTTATACATTAGAAAAATGTTTCCTGATATGCAATCTTTTAAAAAGACACCAGTGGAATCATTTTCTATGGAAAAAATTTAAAAGAAGGCAGCATTTCATGAACTCTGTCTTGAGTTTTTGGAAATATCTCTTACTAATTATGACCTCTATGGTCTATATGGCAAATGCCTCTCACCTGGTAGGGTCAAAACACTTTGAGGGTTCCCTAATCTTGAAAATGATTGGAAATCCTCACATTTTAGGCCTGGAACACTCAGCATTGATGCATGCTTCTGCCAGGCAATGGCAGCAGAGATACTAATGAAAGCAGCAGCTTAGTACGGTGCTCTGATTAGATCCTCAGGTTGGGGAAAGGGCAGGAAAGATGAGAAGAGGAAAGACTTTCACTGAAACTCTGATGAGAGATTCTAGAAGTAACACATTTTAATTAAGCTTCCTCCAAATCAGCAGGGAGTGAAAATTCAGCTAGTATTTTATTTTCCAATTTATTTCTTCAGGGAACATACCTAAAAACTGTTTTGAGGGTGGGCTATTATGTAACTGAAGGACACAATTTCATTATGAACAGGCAGAAACTTGTGAAATATCAATTTTTAGTATACATATTTTGGGAGCACCTACCAAGGACCTTACAAAATTTTACGAAACATTATCTAACTCAACCATGAGTCACCTGGTATTTCAAGTCACTGTTTCTCAGGGAAAGCTAAGTATTTTCTTAAGCTTATAAAAACATAATTCTTCTCAGTTTCTTCTTGTAGACATCTAGTCAGCTTCTATCACCCTGTACACACACGCACACACACACACACACGTGCACACACACACACACACACACACACACACTGCAGAGTTAGTTCTTTATGTTCCAGGCTCCTCATGTGTAAAATGTAGATAACAATAACTGCATGATTTCAGGATGAGTGCTGAGAGGTAATGTATGTGTTGAGGGCTCCACAGAAGTAGGATGGACCTCATACCCAAAATTTGGTCCAAATGTTGAGACTGATGATGCTACACATACCCCAATGGAGTACGAAAAGGTTTATTATTCACATAAGGAGGCCCTTGGAAGGAGTAGCATAGGCTACCAAGTAGGTCCAAAAAAATGGCTAGAGATCAGGGGAGGGCCCCTGGCTTGGGGTGTTATGTTGGTTAGGGAGTGAGGCTGAGGAACAGATTGTCCAGCATAGACCAGGGCTTGCATCGTTTGAACCCCCTGCAGGTACCAAAGGAGGGAGCCCCTGGAATTTCTTATTAGCTTGCCCAGATATGGGGCAGAAGGGTAAAGGGAAGTGGTGGGGCTTGAAAGTTGTCAGCAGTTGAACATAAAAATGAACTCAGACTCTTTACTAACCTATACAAAGAATTTAGCACAGTGTACTTGGTAGATGTGCAATAAATGGTAGCTTTTTTATTATTGCTGTTAACACAATTATTATACCTATGTTTGTGCCTCCCACTGCTTGGCTGGCATGATGAAAACAGAATTTTAGAACATGGATCTAAAAGGTAATCAGTATGAATAGAACAGAATTTGAGTAATTGCTTATGTGGTCCAAATATTATACCACAGTAGCAGCTTAAAGTGTTATGTTTAACATCATAGGTAAAGTGTACTGGACTTGGATTCACAAAACCCAGGCTTACATCTCAGCTTTATTCCTTAAGAACTACATGATTCTCAACAGTGGCTTACATGCCTTCAAACTTATCTGTTCAATACAGGTAATACCACCAATTCCACTGGGTTGTTATGAACAATAACTGGAAGATAATAAACAGACTAGCATATAGCAATTGCCCAGTACTTCAAAGATGCTCGGGGAACAACAATTGAATATGATTCTGAATATAACCCATTAAGTCACTTTAATTCTCTGAGACTGATTCCCCTTATTTACAATACAAGGATAATAGTTATCTTACTTATTATACAGGATGTGATAAGAATCAAAATCAGCAGCAGACCATGGATCTGATGGCACTTTCTAAAGGGAAATGTAAAGCATTTGTAAGGAAATGTAAATAATGTAAGACATTATTATTAAATACCTCACTTATCACATAAGCATTGCAGAGGAAACATTGCGGACGTGCTAGAATCTTGACACCACTCAAGCACATATGGTCCCCTCATGGTCTCAACTTCAGGGAAGAATTCCTAAATCAGGTCCACTTTTCATCGTATTTGCTAATCACATTACATGTTGAACATTCTCTAAAGCCCTGACATTTTCAAACAGGGCCAAAAAAGATTGATATGCCTGAGGAACCCAGATATTTACTTCCTCTCAGCCAAGAATCCCCATCTGTTGGTATCAGTTGACATTTGAGATAACTTGCCCCCAGTAAACATGCATTTTAAATCCTGACTTCAGAAAACAGACTCAGAAGATTCATCACTCAAGTTTTCAACAAGAGAAATAATTGAATAAGAATGAAGAAGAAAGAATTGTATTGGAAAGCAGGGAAGCAAAAATATAAGTGGACAAAAGTTAGAGAAGTGCTTTTGGGAAATAAATAAGAATGGTGAACAAGGATGAGAAACATCTACCACACTGATTAGATTCACTCCAAGAAGTCAAGATTATTAGTGAAACCTCTTAGGGGAGACAAAACACAGCCATTTTCTCTTTCCTTCTTCTTTTCCCTTGTCTTCATGCCTCCCCAGCACAAAAACTGTATAACAGAGATATTCATGCCAAGTATGGATTGCTTTCTAGAGCCAGCACTCTAACTTTTGTCATAAGAAAATGATGCACACAGAAGCAACCTATATGCTGTGCTCTGTTATCTACTGATGCCTGTGTTCTCCTCAACACTGTGGCAGTCAACTATCTGGAGGGATATGGAGCTTAGTGGGAAGCTGCCACATCTTCACTTTTGCTTCAATAAGGTAAGGGGATCATGCTGTATATCTTCACACCTCTCTTCTGCCTTGTTATGCCAAATGGTATATTCAGCCAGGCATCTGGTAGTCACATGTTTACCGCACCAAAGAAAATTTTAGGCGCTTACAGAAAATAACTGCTCAGAATACATACAGCTTTATTCAATTGTAAGATAAAGATGTATCTATTTATATTCATTCTTTCATAATATTTGCGAAACCCGTAAGTATGGCACATGATATAGAAACCTAGTAGTAAAACTCTTGTCACTACACAATGTCCTTGGCTTTAACCCACCAGTTTATATTTTTATTCAAGGATAAACCATCTTCTGGTATTATTATTATTTTGAGACAGAGTCTTGTTCTGTTGCCCAGGCTGGAGGGCAGTGGCATGATGTCAGCTCACTGCAATCTCTCCCTTTCGGGTTAAAGCGATTCTCATGTCTCAGCCTCCCGAGTAGCTAGGATGCGCAACCAAGTCCAGCTAATTTTTGTATTTTTAGTAGAGACGGTGTTTCGCCATGTTGGCCAGGCTGGTCTTGAACTCCTGGCCTCAAGGGATCGCCCACCTCAGCCTCCCAAAGTGCTGAGATTACAGGCATGAGTCACTGTGCCTGGCCTATTCAGGTATTTTATATTCACTGTTTTTCTTCTCATAAAACTTGGTTAATGCTGAAGATCTCCTTAATTAGTTGGATAAATTACACCTTCCCACATGGAAAAATTCCTTGGGGGATGCATCAACATTTTTCTTCTGTACTTCCTCAAAGCACAAGTTATGGTTTCAGTGTATACAAGGTTTTCAAGAAATATTGCCATCAGATTGATTAAATGACTGACTGCATAGCTTTTTATTTTTCTTAACAGTTAAATAGCATTTATATTTCAATAAGGGGTTTTTACTCTGTAAATCACAGATTCCAAATCACAATTTGCAATAGCAGAGCTCACCTGCCAAAACAACTTCAAATTAAATAGCAACCTTTGTTACAGTATTTTGCAGCCATATCTGGGAAATGCAATTGACACTGGCATGGAGTAGAAATAGTTTCCACAAGGCAAGAAAAGGCATATTGACTGGCAGGAGCATGCTCTGTTGCCTTGACACACAAGCAAGAATTCGGCCCCAATCTGTTGGAGTCTCAAGGCTCACAAACCTGCCAGATTGCCATCTTTGTGCTGAATGCAAAATAATCACAGTGGCTAAAAATGATAACTTGTGGATGGCTGGGATGGGAAGCAACATATTTAATCAATCTCTCCTTTTCACTCTGCAGGTTCTAACCATGAAAACTGCACTCCAACTAGAGAGAATAATTTCCATTCTCAAACTCTGGAGGTAAGAATATGTCATTCCACGATCCCTGAGTAATCTTACTTACAGCTTCCCTAGAAAATGCACATTTAGATTTAGCTTGTTGATGAGATTCAAATAATAGGCTTCATTGACTCCCAAGAGACTATGAAGTATCAATTTTTTAGCTCTTTGATTTCTTAAACCCTTTCCAGTCTGGTCTCCTCCTACAGACCAACCTATTCCTGGACTAGTTCTCAGAGTTTAGGAATGTTGAAGGAACAGTTGTTATTTTTGTAACAAAATTTAATCTACCTGTGCAATTATTAGTTCTCAACACAGCTATTGTATACCTGTTACCATTTTTCTGATGTCATCTATATAGAAAGCACCAAGTATTTTCATGGTAGATCTTTCAGAATATATCTTCTAAAGAGTTGATTCTCTTTTTCTTTTCTTTTCTTTTTTTCTTTTTTTCTTTTTTTTTTGAGACAGAGTCTCGTTCTGTCACCCAGGCTAGAGTGCAGTGGCGTGATTTCGGCTCACTGCAATCTCTGCCTCCCGGGCTCGAGGAATTCTCATGCCTCAGCCTCCCTGGTAGCTGGGATTACAGGCATGCACCACCATGCCTGGCAAATTTTTTTGTATTTTCAGTAGAGATGTGGGTTCCTCCATGTTGGCCAGGCTGGTCTCGAACTTCTGGCATCAAGTGATCCTCCAGCCTTAGTCTCCCAAAGTGCTGGGATTACAGGTGTGAGCCACTGCTCCCAGCCAAAAGTTGATTTTTTGTAGGCAATTCTGAACTTTAAAATTTTATTTTCTGAGTCCTATTTCAAATATTTATGTTGTAATTTTTTTATTTATCAACATATATCCCTATTGTCTCTCATGCTTTTATTTCTTTAAATACCATAAATGAAAATAATATCTTTAAAAAGCATAATAGTTTTTGATTTTGAATAAGGATGAATAGACTTCATCATGACATTTCAGATATTTAGAACTGAAAGGAATATCAAGATGTTTAGGTAGATACTGATAATGACAACTGAAAGTAGTAGGTGAGTCACACTAGTGATGTTTAAACTGGTTGCCACAGTTTTCCCAAATCCTGGTAGATTGCTGGTGTTTCTGAGTTGTGGTCACAACTCCAAGGTGGTAGTTCTTGCCTACTTCTCTAAGAGCTTCACTACAGAGAGAAAAAAAAATTTCTCCAGAACTGGAAACCTCAAGTATTTAGGATAAAGAAAAGTATCTTTTCCTTTAATATGGAGTCTTGAGCTGAATGCAGCTTGCATCGTATGTTGACATTTTTAAGTTGACGATGCAAATATCTCTCTTGGTAGCCTGGTTGTCATTATAATTACTTTTTATGTCAATGAGGCTACAGGCTTAAAAGCCTTTTGTTTCTAGAAGATACACAGGACAATTGATCTGCACATTTTTCATAGCAATCCTTTTATAAAGTGGAGGAGGCATTTTCTAGTCTTCTTTTCCTCAGGGACACTATTCTAGTTTTTACTATTCTTTATGATCTCTTTTCTCTACTCCTATTTTGTTTGGTTTTTATTTTATTTTTTATTTTTATAGAGTTGGGGATACAAGCGCAGTTTTTTTACGTGGAGATATTGTATAGCGGTGAAATCTGAGCTTTTAGTGTATTCATTGCGCAAATAATATATAGTACCCATTAAGTAATCTCTCATTCCTCACCACCCTCTACCTTCTGAGTATCCAATGTCTATTATCCCACTCTCTGTATCTATGTGTACATAGTATTTAGCTCCCATTTATAAGTGAGAACATGTGGTATTTGACTGTTTCTGAGTTATTTCTCTTACGCTAAAAACCTCTAATTCCATCCATGTTGCTAGGAAATGCATCATTTCATTCTTTTTCATGGCTGTTTACTCCTATTTTAAATCATGCTCTTCAGTATGCATTCTATTTTTTTATACATCCTTTTGTTTTTAATAATACTGGAGATGAAATTTAGATACATGTTACTGAATAGTATAGCTTCATCTGAATGCTTTACATTCCATTATATACTTCGGTGGATATAAATGATAATAGTCCTAGAGGTGAGAAGTTGCGGTTGCTGTTGTTGTTATGTCAGTTTAGTTAGTTTCTGACTTCTCTCTGAAAGCTTCCATCAGTTAGCCAATCCATATCAGTACTGATTTAGTCATGTAGGCATCAGTTATTATTTTATCTTATTTGTAAGGATTGTTTTCACAAAATGATAAGGATTATTACCTGTATCCTAAAAATAAATCTTTCAGTAATCAATATATGAAAAAGAAAATTATCATTCCAAGAAAATTTACATTTTCTTTTCTCCATAAATGCAAGTAACTTTTTGCATTTTTGGCAGGAAGTGAAAATTTCATAACAAATGCAGCAAAATTAAGCATTGAGCAGAGAAAGGTGTCAGAACATTGCACGATATTCAGCTGAGAGTTACAAAGTATCATCAGCCAGATAAGGAAGAGAGAGAGGTGTTGTAATACTAAATTCTCCAGTTTTGAAATTTTCCATAAAGAATCGATGGGTCCAGAGTCTGGGTTAAAAACAAACAATATGAAATGAGGCTTGTTTCTAGAACTCTGGCCATTGTGACCCAGGGCCTGATTGTCACCATGCCACTGTACTCAACAATAGTTTTCAGGTTTTTAGATACTTCTGCAGACATATACAAATCAGTGAAAAGAAGAAAGGGATATTGTACAGATAAAACCACGTATTTGTATACATATTAGTCAATGCATAGATACTGAGCATCTTCTATGTACAGGGGTTATACCATGATGGAACACATGCATGATTTGCACTCATTGCAGTTTGTACACTTGAAGTCATACTCCGTTTGTATGCCTGCCTCCCCATTAGGGTGTATTCTCTTTTAGGACCAAAAACAAATTATTTCATTCTGTTTCTCCAGTCCCAACTAACATACTAGATGACTGATATACTAGATGACTGACTGCCAATTAAATGAATGGCTTAAAAATAAACAAATGCATCATGAATGCATGTGTAGCCTATGATTTTGGGTGGAGTTTTCCACCTCTTTGTGCTCTGTGTCCTCCTTTGTGATATGTCAAGCAAGATGGATTAAGAAGTATGCATGTTGGCCGGGCATGGTGGCTCACGCCTATAATCACAGCACTTTGGGGGGCCGAGGCAGGCAGATCACTTGAGACCAGGAGTTTGAGACCTGCCTGGCCAACATGGTGAAACCCCATCTCTACTAAAAATGGAATAATTAGCCAGGCGTGGTGGTACATGCCTGTAATCCCAGCTACTTGGGAGGCTGAAGCAGGAGAATCACTTGAATCTGGGAGGCGGAGGTTGCAGTGAGCTGAGATCGTGCCACTGCACTCCAGCCTGGGCAACAGAGTGAGACTCTGTCTCAAAAAAAAAAGAAAGAAAGAAAGAAAGAAAGTATGCATGTTTGTGTGCTCAATTGTGTCATGTGCTTCAGGATTCAACTTGGACATTGCATTTCCTTTAGAAGTTTGCGATGAAATAAAAAATAAAGTTAAGATGGTCTTCAAAACAGTTACGATCTGAACAGAAATCTACTTTATGTCTGAATATTTTTTCACTTTGTGCTTACGGCTTCCATCTTAGCTTTTTCACCTATGCTGCAACACTATTAAATGAGGTCATTTTACATGAGTAACTTTGATATCTGTTTGTTGATTCACAGCTTCTCTAACTTGGAGGCAGGAAAAACAAGCTAATGACAAAGATATTTGTATACCAACTTTCACCTTAGAAATTATAGTTTCCAAATACTCACAAGTAAAAATACCACAAACTTTAATGACTTAATTAAGCCAGTGGTAAAACACAATATATCTAGGAGGGTGTTAGTTACAATAGCAGGGAAATTATATGGTTTTCAGCAAGGTGGACTAGAAGAATCAGGCTTTGGAACCAAAAACTAGACTCAAAATCTGATTGTTCCCTTTAATGAGGCTTCGCTGTAGCTTACTCTTTCTGCAAGTTAATTTTCTCATGTAAAATGGTGATAATATGACATATTTTGAGAGAGAATTCAGACTTTGCAAATCTTCCAACACCATGCTAGTTTCTTTTCTCTCACCTTTGCTAATATGAGAAAGACAGACTGATAAAACCGTGTGGGGTCAACACCCACTAAAATAATAAATGCTCCCATATGTCACTGAGTCATAAAAATCATAAACTGAGCTGTTCTTCCTGATGCATCTTTAACTTTAGGGAGTATTATTTACTTTTACCATTTTTGAGTAAGCAATTAAAGTATGTATTTTACGTAATTGAAGGAATCAGTATCTCCATTGATAGTAAAATATTACCAGGCCAATTGTTATTTGTATATTTTTTAAAAACCTTTTAAAAGAATAGTGCATTTGCTTGCAAAGCAAAAGATGCTGTGACTTACCAACAAGATCTGGCTGCCTTTTCTGTGTTACTTATTATTGTGGCAAAAGAGGTTGTAAGTGTGACAAGAAAATATAACATAAGAACATGAATAAACAAATAAGGGCAGTTGTTATGAAAACTGATTCTTCCAGAATGAGGAGTTAAATGAGCTCTCTCCTTAGTACCTTCTTCCTGTTTCCCAATTTTTAGGCTAAAGAAGACACAAACACTTAGGCAGTTACAAGAGTCCTTTAAAATCCTCCATGGTATTTTTAAAAATCTCTACAATTCTCTTGTATTTTGAGTAAAAGCTAAATTGGAGCTGTATTGTTTTATTTCCTGAGTCTTCTTTTTATTGAATTATTTACAGTGGACATGATTGCTGGTGATGATCACAGCCTTAGTCTTCATATTCTAGGGACAAATCTGTCCTAAACTTCTGTCATTGAACTTTCATGGATGGAGCTAACAGTTAATGATTGGTGTATAACAAAAGGCAGTATCCTTCTAGGTAGCTAATGTGGGCCACCAAAGGGTCAAGAAAAAAGTTATAGGCCAGGCATGATGGCTAACACCTGTAATCCCAGCACACTGAGAGGCTGAGGCAGGCAGATCACTTGAGGTCAGGAGTTTGAGACCAGCCTGGCCAACATGGTGAAACCTTGTCTCTACTAAAAAATACAAAACTTAGCTGGGCATGGTAGTGCACGCCTGTAATCCCAGCTACTTGGGAGGCCGAGGCAGGAGAATCACATGAACCCGGGAGGCAGAGGTTGCAGTGAGCCGAGATCGTGCCACTGCACTCTGGCCTGGGTGACAGAACTAGACTCTGTCTCAAAAAAAAAAAAAAAAAAAAAAAAGTTATAGTAGAATAATTAAAGTATTTCTAAACCTAGGTTATAAGATTTAAAAAGAATGGTTTTTAGTTTCTAGTTTCCTGCAGTATCTAAGATGTCTACAAGGCAACATTGGGAACTGGAGTCAAAAAGTTGATGCTTCACAGCTCCTTGGACACTACAGATAGACAGTGAGAAAACAGTCAATTGTTGTCACATCCCAAGAACAGCAGGGGATTCCAGTTAATTTTATGTAGCGACATTGAGCCTCTGGATTTTAAGGACCTTGCTGAACTCTCAACTGGTCTTCTTCCCTATCTGTATCTCATGGTGGCAGCAGCCTCTCTGTATTAATGGGAAAACAGAGACCTGAACTCAGATGTGTTATAAACTGAACTTCTGTTTATTGTTATCAAATATCTTTACAAGCTTTCTACCACTCTGGACAGACGACAGATAGAAGGCAAGCTTGACTTCTTACTGTGCAAATGGAGCCCAACCAACCTAAAGGGTAAGCCACCTAAGAGAGGTTCCTCTTTTGGTCCTACACTAGCTACTAGCACATATCAGGAGGGGATATGCTGCATTAAGAATGCAAATATCACTTTGTCTAAGGGTGTCTTCAGATGATGCCAGTAATTCATAAGTGTTCTCCCACCATCCAGAAAGGGCATCATTCAGAGAGTCCTCATCTCTCTACCATCACTTTCAGGGTCCATCGCTAGTACTCAACTCTCCCTCTTACCTTGCAGGTGGTAAACAAAAGGGAAGACTATTAAATTTATCACCTATATATTTCAGAAATGTTTCTTTTCTCTCAATATCATCACTTTTAGGTTATCTGCTTAACAAAGCTCCTACCCTTCTCAGAGTCTAAGGATCAAATCTTTCTGTGATTCATTTCAAGAAGCTTTTGTCGAAGCACTGTTATATAATGTTATGAATCAAATGGACAATCAATACATATTGGATGATGATGGATAAAGTTTAAGCCACAGAGTAAAGACTGTGTTGTTGAGCTAAAAGAGTTCAGTTTTTATCAAGCACAATAAATAATAATTTTATTTTATGTGCAGATTTCTGATGGTCAGATCATTGTACAGTAGAGCATAATTGAAAGCAAATTCCCTCAGAGGCCACTGACCACTGGTAAATGTTCAAATATATAATACAGTTCAATACGACTGTACTAAACAGGTAATAAAATGTTGGCCTTTGACCTCCCGTGACTACTAGTTTCAGCTACTTCATTACCCCATGAGGCATGTCCTCAGGTATGTGCATCTCTGGGTGGGCAGCTATTCTCTTGCATTTTCCAGCAGTCGTTTGCCATCAGTAGGCCTGTCAGAGTCAATGCTTCAGTTTCATAACTGTAATTGGATTGTCTGACTTCCTATTCAATTGGTACATGTTTCTTCTTATTTCTGTTTCTTTTAAAAAATCAATAAATGGTTTGTGATGCCTCAAATAGAGAGAAATCAGGTTTTACCACATTATGGAATTGACATTTTCAACATTTATTTCTCAAAGAGGACCATTGGGTATGTCAGATTCAACGCATAAGTTTTGGATTAATTGAATTGTTTGGTCCCAGGGATATATAATAACGTGAACACATTTCATGATGGAAACCAAAGAGCTCTATCATGCCCCAAACTTTATGCATATGAGTAGAAACAATTTTTTCTCTTTTTCTTGTCTTTCTTTCCTCCACTCATAAAACCCACCACTCATAATAAAGTTATAGAAAGCATAAATAGCTTTATGTTTAAACTGGAGGCTGATATTGAAACCACTAAAACATTATGGGTGTGAATGGAATGTGCACATATATTTATATGTATATATAAAGTCCAAATTTTATATACATATATGGACTTTATACATAGCTACATATATCTACACATACATATATGACACGAAGAGCTGAATCAGTTAATATATCTCTGCATTTAAGAGTAAATCATATTTGATGCAATTCTGCAAGTACATCTTGGCTCCATAAAACTGTGATAGTGGATGAAGTTGCAAAGGTGAGTAAGACAGAGTATCCACCACCAAAAGTCCTGACGTAGAATGAAAATCTTCCAAAAAGAATTAGTAAGTTCATATCGTTTCGCTTTTGTTTAATAGCTTGGCTCCTATTAGGATCAGGTTTGCACCATTGATCGTGTATTGACTTGAATAAAAATACATTTCAAAATAATGTACAGTATTGACTAAAGATGGGACTACCTGCTTAAAATCAGATTCATTCCACATTTCATTGCTATCTCTAAGTATTCATTCTGCAGGAGGAAGAGATTTTTCCACTGCATAGAGAACATTATCAAATGTTTCCATCTTCCTTTGAAGCATTCACTATTAACTGCTGTTAGAGGAAGGATTCTAGACTGAGTGGGCCATTGGTTTGTTCTGGTAGGACAGTTCCTGAGTTTTAATGGATATATACAGTTTGGAAGAAAAAAGAAAAAACTACCAGAGACAAACTTTAATATTTTGAGTGGCACTTAGCTGATATGGTAGGTAGAATTTACCAATTCCTTTTAAAATTTAATTTCTTGTTAAACGTGAAAGCTTGAAGTTCAGTAATATGAAAATAATAACATTTTTCAGGTCATGAATATTTGCTTTTTAAAATAGTTTACTTTACTCTACTTGCAAGCCAGATTTCCCTATTTTTAAGTGAGTTTATTGTGGGAGTGGGAGGAGTTGAATTAGAACAAGACTCTCTACAGGGTCACAACCTCTTCAGGGCTTCAGTGCAAGGAAGGGATGAACAGATATTGACAGACCAACTGTCTTATAACCTGAGATTCCCACTCGTTTGTTATTCTGTATGGCTATATTTGCTTTCAACCTCAATAGGCTTCATTCATCTGCAAACTTCCTGTGGCCCTTGATCAAAAAGGCTACAAAAAATACCATGTCCTCATGTGCCAAGTAAAAATTTGTGACTATGCAGCTTAAAAGTCGGTCATGGAGAAAATGTTTCTTAACAACGCTTTGAACTATTTAAATTAGAGCTTTATTTTAGAAAATTTACTAGACAGTGGTCTACTTCATTTTATTATACTAATTATCTTTAGTTGCAAGAACAATGGCCATTTTGTGAGTTGTTAGTTCAACCATACGTTGTTATATTTGTGAGACAAAAATAGCCAACTGTGAGCAATTTTATATGGCTTGACCTAATATAAAATTTTGTGTGCTTTGAATGTCTGTGATAAACACAGAGATGTATTCCCATGGAAACCATGCCCCATGCATGGTGAAGCAGCCAATATGGTGGTAAGGATTACACTGGCATGACTGTCTATAGTCCAGGAAAGTATTATAAAGATGTTGCTTGGAGTTCTGTGCAAAAGAAAAGTCCACGTTTAATCAATGTATAGGTATATTAAGAAGGAAATCCTCCTATTTATGATTCACCATGACCAATGTCATAGTAAAGGCTTTGAAAAATTCTGCAGCAAATTACATCATTTAGTCAAATAAATTCCATAGGGTATGCTGTGCTGGGCCATAAAATACCTTTTCTGATCAAATGCCTATCAGCATTTTATAGGAAAGCAATGTTTCATAATTCTCTGTAATTCAATTTGAGAAACCAACACCTGACTGAAAACTTGACACTTGTATGTTCCTGTACCTTCAGGGGTTAATGCAGTGCCTTATCCATATAAGGTTAACCTTACAAACCAAAAAAATGACAGCTTTAGACTCACAGTTTGTAATCTAGCTCTCATATGGTGCATGCTGTTTTAAAGGAAATTATATCTACTCTCCTCATCCAGCAAACTGGCATTTCATAAGATAAGCTATGCACTCTGAGTTTAAATAAATTCAGATATTTTTCTTTGAATACATTTCACAGCCAGGGCATAACATTCTGAACACTGTGACATTATCCTTCCTTAAAACGTGTATGTCTGTTTTCTCATGTTAAACTTCCTTTTTGTTCTATCTGTATCTGTAATAATTGCCTGTGATTTCTGGAATGGGTCTCATGAGGGAGTCCATTTTTCTTCCCTTAGCCTCTCTCTAAGCACCCAATATGGAAGCTGCAGCCCATGGTGCATCCATGAATATTATCGGAGAAGATCAATAAATCTAAGTCCACAGCCAACAGTAATTACTTTCTTTATTCTGGCAGAGATGGTGGCATTATTTAGACACAGTTGTAGAGCAAGTGACAAACAAGGCACCTTTTTGCAGACTCAAATTTCTGGGATACATTTACAACAGTGGTGAAAAATTACAGAGGGATGGCAGGTATATGTGAACAGGGCTGCAACTAATTTGGCCTTGGGAGGTGAGATTGTCAGGCATGTCAAAAGCTAAGCCTCATTCAGAATCCTCCCCACTCCAGCACTTCTCAGATCTGTTTGCACCACCTCTTTTCTCCCTCTCCTCTAGCTTCAAACTTACCCTCTCTATTGGCTTCATCCTCTCGGAATATAAATATACTTGAGAATCTCTTCTCTTGAAAAAGAATCCACCCTCACTTCCACCTTCCTGTTTTCTCTCTCCCTCTCTTTCGTGGAGAAGCTACTTGAATGAATACCCTACATTCCCTTCTCCACTTCCTGACCTCCCATGTGTGACTCCATCCTTCATAGTAGGTAAACATTCTTGAGAAGATTCTCATCTGTTGTGAAGTCTTCCCTTACCCCCCACTCTACTTCTCCCACATCTCGTTTTAGATTTGGATGTTACCCTCACCATGGACTCCTACTGTACCTTGAATGCTTCTCGATTCAGTCTTACCATTCAAGAATGTAATGTTTTTTATTTTGTTTCTGTTGATAAGAGGTAGAGCTTGTGTCTTCATCATCTTTGTATCCGGTGTCCAGGGTATTGCCTGAGGGCAATTATAGGGACTTAATAACGCCCAAACACATCCAACCTTTTTCGATCAAATTTGTTTCTAAAGCGAGAATACAAAAAAAAAAGAAAGAAAGAAATAGAAAAGCTCCCTGTTTGCAAATGTGCTGTGTATTTTGTGCTGTAAGCCTCTGATAAATGCAGTGGTGTTATCCAATTAACTTTCCAGTACTCAGGAGAGAGCCTTACAGGTTCTGCCAACTTACCATCGACTAATCTTAATTGTCTTTTGACCTATGCTAGCTGCATGGAGGGTAGGGGGATTAGTAGTAATGTAGAACTTTTAAATATTAACATTATGTACTATGTATATTATATAAGGAAATTTGACCTCTTTCAGAAAAAAGTAGCACAAGTTCATATAGTATGGGCAGTAGGACTTTGCTATTTAAATCAGTACCACAAAATGTTTTTATATGGAATGTTATTCTAACTTTCTGGACAAACCTGAATAATATGTTTAAAGTTTCATATTACAGGATCCTTATTTATAATACCTAAATAACATTTTCATCCTTCCATAGCCTGAACAATATTAAATCAATATATAAAATCACAGTAATCATAAAATTAGAGTTTCACTATGTACACTGAGGTCCTTCAGTGATTACCAAGTGCTGCCAAATAACACAATCCTACATCAGCTGTCAGTCCTCAGTTCTAACTCCTAGGCTCTGGCTACTTTGAGATGCTATTTCCAAAAAGTCCTCTTCTCTGGCTACTCATGTCACCTTGAGGGGCACAGCTCACTCGGAAAAGCTACTCTTGTAGAAGCCTCACTATCTGAGACCCCTAACAACTCATTATCATCCCTCCTCCCAACAACTTAAAGAACATGTATTCCACAACACAGGTCTTATGAGGGCAGGGCAGAATGGGGTGGCCCTCTCTCCAAAATCAATATGTGAGTTGAGAAAAAAATGAGACATTTTGTTCTCATCAAGAAATCTATAGACAGCAGTGATCCTAGGGTCCCCAACTGGAACCAAGAATATACTGACCCAGAGACACATGAGGTAAAAGTTTTATTCTTCAGATTTTTACAACTATGCCACTAAGGTATTCATTCAGTCATCCTTTTTGAGCTGGCAAGGAAAATTAAACCAAATGTTTTTAAGGCTTACCATATCATGCTAAATTCCACCAAACTTTTAAAGAAGAACAAACATGAATTCTTTTCCAACAATTCTAAAAAAATTAAAGGGGATGGAATTTTCCAAACTCATTCTACAAGGTCTGCATTACTCTGACAACAAACCAGAAAAGGACACAACAATAAATAAAGAAAACTACTAGCCAATATCACTGATAAACACAGATGCAAAAATCCTCAGCAATGTACTAATGATATGGAAGAGGAGAAGGGAAGTGCTGGATAGAGGAGGGCATGGTCCCTGGCTGGGGCTCCACTCCTGGGCCTGTGCCCATGTACCAGGTGAGGACAGGCATTCATGTTTTCCTGCCTAAATGTTGCATTTCCCAAGACAACCCTGGCCTGCCACAACCCCATCCTGTGCCTATAAAAACCCCAAGACCCTAGCAGGCCGACACACAGGTGGCTGGACATCGAGAGGAGAACATCAGCAGAGGACACATGGGCCGCTGGATTTCGAGAGGAACACACCAACAGGCACTGGCACTCCAGCAGGTCACCAACTGGCAGAACAACTGAGTGTTTGGCCAGGGCAGTCAGAGAAGAGTCGGGCCACCAAGAGGCCCAATTCCTGGGAGAACCATCTCCCTTCTGGCTCCCTCATCTGCTGAGAGCTACTTCCGGTCAATACAACTTTGCACTCCTTCTCCAAGCCCATGTATGATCCAATTCTTCTGGTACACCAAGGCAAGAATCCCAGGATACAGAAAGCCCTCTGTCCTTGTCTAATTGAGCTGACCACAAGTCACCTATGGACAGCTAAACTAAAAGAGCACCCTGTAACACACACCCACTGGGGCTTCAGCTGTAAACATTCACCCCCAGACACTGCCATGGAGTTGGAGTCCCACAGCCTGCCTGCCTGTATGCTTCCCTAGAGGATAGAGCAGTGGGGCACTGAAGAAGTGAGCCACACCCTCACCACATCCCCTGTGAGGGGGACAAGGGAAATTTTCCCATTTCACTAACAAACCAAAACCAACAGCACATCAAAAAGATTATATACTATGATTAAGCAGAATTTATCCTAGGGATGCAAGTAAGTTTCAACATATGTAAATCAATAAATGTATGCTACTATATCAACAGAATGAAGAACAAAACCATATGATCATCTCAGTAGATGCAGAAAATAGCATGTGATAAAATTCAACATCTTTTCATTGTAAAAACTCCCAAAAAATCAGATAAAGAAGAAATACACCTCAACAAAATACAGGCTATATTTGACAAATCCATGGCTAATCTCATAATGAATGAGGAAAAATTAAAAGCTTTTCCTCTAAGAACTGGAAGAAAACATGGATACTCATTCTCACTACTCTTACTCAACATAGTACTGGAAGTCCTAGGAAGAACAATTAGGCCAGAGAAAGAAATAAAGGGCATCTAAATTGGAAAAGAGAAAGTCAGTTTGTCTCTGTTTGCAGATTACATAAACTTATTTATAGAAAAACATAGACACTCCACCAAAAAATTCTTAGAACTGATAAATTCAGTAAAGTTGTGAGATACAAAATCAACATACAACAACAGTAGCACATCTTTGTACCAGGAAAGGAAATCAGTATGTCAAAATTCTAATGAATGAACTAAGAAAGAAATCAAGAAAACAATCTTATTTATAATAGTTATAAATTTTAAAAAACCCTAAAAATAAATGTAACCATGGAGTTGAAAGATTTCTACATTGAAAGCTATAAAACACTGATGAAAGAAACTGAAGAGAACACACACACAGGAAGATAACCCATGCTCATGGATTGGAAGAATAAATATTGTTACAATGGCCATACCACCCAAAGTGATCTACAGATTTAGTGCAATCTCTATAAAAATACCAATGGCATTCAACACAGAAATAGAAAAAACAATCTTAGCATTCATATGCAACCACAAAAGACCCCAGATAGCCAACATAATCCTGAACAAAAAGAACAAAGCTGAAGGCATCAATCTATCTGACTTCAAAATATATTGCAAAGATATGGTAACCAAAAAAGCATGGTATTGCCATAAAAACAGGCAGATACAACAATGGAACAGAATAGGGAACCCAGAAGTAAATCCACATATTTACAGCCAACTGATTTTTGACAAAAATCCTAAGAACATACATAGGGGAAAGGTCTCTTCAATAAATGGCACTGGACACACTGAATATCTGCGTGCAGAAGGTTAAATACCCATCTTTCACGTTATACAAAAACCAACTCAAAATGGATTAAAGACTTACATGTAAAACCCAAATCTATGAAAGCACTAGAAGAAAACTTAGGGGAAGCACTTAGGGATATTGGTATGGGAAAATATTATGAATAAGATTTTAAAAGCACAGGCAAATAAAACAAAACTAGACAAAAGGGATTAAGTCAAACTAAAAAGATTCTGCACAGCAAAGGAAAAAAAAAATCAATGGAATGAAGAGACAACCTACAGAATGGGCAAAAATATAAATTATTTATTTAACAAAGCTTAATATCTAGAATATACAAGGAATTCAACAGCAAAATAAATAAATAATTTGATTTTTAAAATAGACAAATGATCTAGATAGATAGTTCTCTAAGGAAGACACACAAATGGCCAATAAGTATGTGTAAAATGCTCAGTATCACTAATCACCAGGGAGATATCAAAACCACAATGAGATGTGATCTTACTCCAGTTAGAATGTCTATTGTCAAAAAGACAAAAATAAGAAATGCCGGTGAGGATGCAGAGAAAAGGTAACTCATAAACTGTTTGTGAAAATGTAAATTAATACAGCCATTGTGGAAAACAGTCTGGAGATCCCTCAAAAAACTGAAAATAGAATTATCATATGATCTCACAATTCCACTATGGGGTAAATATTTAAAGAAAATAAAATAAATATGTCAAAGAGATATCTACATTCCCATGTTTACTGCAACATTATTCACAATAGCCAAGATATGGAATCAAGCCAAGTATCCACCAGCAGATGAATGGATAAAGAAAATGCACATTTACACAATGGAATACTATTCTGCCAATAAAAAGAGTGAAATTGGCGTGGCACGGTGGCTCACGCCTGCAATCCCAGCACTTTGGGAGGCTGAGGTGGGCAGATCACGAGGTCGAGAGATCAAGACCATCCTGGCCATCCTGGTGGAACCCAGTCTCTACTAAAAATACAAAAAATTAGCTGGGCATGGTGGCACACGCCTGTAGTCCCAGCTACTTGGGGGGCTGAGGCAGGAGAATCGCTTGAACCCAGGAGGCAGGGGTTGCAGTGAGCTAAGACCACGCCACTGCACTCCAGCCTGGCGACAGAGCGAGACTCCATCTCAAAAAAAAAAAAAGGGGGGGGGTGAAATCCTGTCATTTGTTACAAAACAACATTGTTGTAACTGGAGGACATTATGTTACCTGAAATAGGCCAGGCATGGAAAGATAAATACCACATGTTCTCACTCATATATTGAAGCTAAAAAAGTTGATCTCCTAGAAGTGGAGAGTACAATAGTGGTTACTAGAGGCTGAGATGGGTAGAGGAAAGAGGAGAATAGGGAGAGGCTGGTTAACAGATACAAAATTACAATTCAATTGGAGCAATAATTTCTAGTGTTCTATACCACAGTAAGGTGACTGTAGTTAACAATAATTTATTGTATATTTTCAAATAGCTAGAAGAGGAGATTCTGAATGTCCACAAAACAAAGACATGCTAAATATTCGAGGTGAAGGATATGCTGATTATCTCAGTTTGATCAATACACATTGCATTCATGTATCAAAATATCCTACTGTATCCCATAAATATGTACCATTATTGTGTCAATTAACATTTTTTAAAATGTCTACTGTAAGAAAAAAAACTAAACTAAACAAAGCCCACTTACCATATCAGATAGATTTTCATAAGCAATAGTCAGCCCAGTTTTCTGGCCTATAGAGCTAGGAATCTATTTGTCATGAATTACGAAGGAAGCCCTCTGAGAGTTTATGTCAGCAGGCAAACTTGCCTACCATCTCCTGCTATAGTATTCTAAGGTGCTGAATGGAAAAACTGGGCTAATGATGTTTTCGTTTGTATTTTACATGGAAAAGCTCAATAGAGATGACTGATTTCATGACATGAGAGGGCTTTTTCAGAATGAAATAATGAATTGCATTCTTAATATTGTAAATGCCCTGCCTAGATTTTCTCTAAATCATTACAATGAGAGGCAATTCCCCAATGTAGAAGGGTGTGACTGTCTCCAGAGAAGTGGAGAGTCAATGCATCACCCGTGTAATTTAGGAAAACCACCCACTTTATTTCAAGTGCTTTTTCAGATGATCATGCTTTTTGGACTTAAATTCTCTGGATAATTTCTCCACTTCTCTTCCCTGTTATGTGTACATCAAAGCATAACGACTTGGCCTTGGACAACTGAAAAATTAATAACCGAAGCAAGAGTTTAAGAAATCCATAGTAATGACACAAATGAGACCTATCAAATTAGAAAATCAAAATGAAAACACACTAAACACTTCAAAATTTAATTAGAAAAAGTTCCAAGTTCAGACCACACTGAGGCCATTATGCACCAGAAGCACTCTATATTGAAACCTGAAAAGGAGAGTCATTTTGGTGAAATGTGACCTTGGGAAGGAGGTAAGATCGCTCACTGCTTCTTTTACTTTATCTGCTTTTTAAGGCTCACCCCTTAACGTTTTATGAAAGGCAGATCCAAGGCAAGCATCTCTTCAATTTAACCTTCACAAGAGACACAATTCAGTCTTTTATTTTTCCCAATGATACTGCAATCAACTTGAGACTGCTCACCATGAACCATTTGAAAATATTTTTCAAATTAATACACAAATTATGAAGCATACGTTGGCTGCTGATCCCTGTGAACCATTCCCATTGACTTTTAAGTCCAATGCTGTATATCAGGTAAGGATGATTTTCTCCCTTGCAACTTAATGGGATGAGAGGGAGGCTTGTGGGTTATATATGTTTAGAATGAATCATCTTTCTTTTCTGCCGCCCTTTTCATACAAATTGTATATCCTCCAAACATTTTATAGACTTCTATAACATAGGAGAGTATAAAGAATATATTACAAGAGGCAGGAGAATAGACAAGCTTCCAATCCTATGTGAAGTTTATATGGTACCTATCTTTAAAGGCTTTATATATTTTGCCTTACTACCTCACATCTTAGAATTAAACCCACTTTATTATGCATTTAGTTCTCAAGTTATCTCTGTTTGATGAGCAGCATTGCCACCAACCACATTTTTATCAATAATAAAGCTGAGACAAACTGAGGTTCCTACAAGGTCACACAATAAGTATAGTGACTAAAGACTAGTACTCAAGTCTCATATGAGCCATTTAAGACAACCCTGAAGTTAAGCACTGGGTGACTTTGGGAGGTGTGTGTGACAGGGTTGAGTTATTACAAAACACAGCATACTCACATTCCCCCCAAACCAACTTCGTTATTTGTATAGTTTCTGAACAGAAATATATATTTGCAAATAGTTATAGAAAAATTTTGGATGCATTTCTATTAAGAACTGCATGTGTATTTCCATTAAAGTCAGTGTGTATCCTGAACCAAGCCTGCTGCAGCCTTGTGGCCATCTGTCATTTAGATTCTCCTTTCTTGACTATCCTTGGAAGCTTCTTTTTCACTTTTTCCTTGGCTGATCAAAAGCTTTTACCTCTCACTACTGGTTGTTAGTTCTCATTCCTCCATTTCATAATATCCTTCAAAAGTTTAGTTTGGTAATAGACCCTCATTTCAATATCCCTCAGAAAAAGCATAGGAATTTTTTAAATACTGCTCATTGTCTTCTTCTTTCTTTTCTTTTGAAGCAACTGACTTGCTTGACCTAGGTGGTTGTGTTTCTTTGATGTATGCCAGCTTTCAATGTGTTGAGAGGTGGGAGTCCAAGTACCTTATTGCTGGGCTCCTGTGCTCATATTTTACCATCATAGACAAGGTGACAATTTGGGATGGGAGGGCACTGCTTAAGCAGGCATGGGGAGTGGAGTGAGGGCCAACATGGGCTGTCTGAAAAAGGTCAAAGCACTAGGTCTGTCCATGAATCTGGGAATACTTGCTCTGTTCAGGGAAAAAAGGCTCTTCTACAGGGCAAGTGCAGGTATCATAATGTCAAGAACTGCCATTTCATGAATAGTGCCAGGCCCTCTTCTGAGATATAATACCAAGAGAAATATTATCTGTGCCATTTCCAGATAAAGAACCTCAGCTTCTTTTAGAAAAATTTACGGTTATCTGAAGGAGCCAGAATTTTCCACAATTTCTTCCAGGATTATGTGTATAAGCAAACCTTTATCACTTACATACAAACACACACTCATACACAGTTTTCTAAGGGAAAGCAAAATTTTGGTGACATGGATGTGGCTAATACATGAGTAGATAAAATACTACACATAACTCTTTATATATTATTGAGTAGAAACAAATTACGGTGTATTTTTAGTGAGTTATTTCAGGCACAAAAACATGCCTCATGGAGAATACAACAGTTGTAGTAGTGTATTATAATTCAATAGTGGTTTAAATGCAAATGATCCACAGGTGGAATGTCCACTTCTTCCCAGCTTAGCTGTAAGACACTAGCTTTTTATTTATGTCATAACTCAAAGAAAAAGAGAAAGATTGGGGTAGCTCCAGAGAGCCCAATTACTAATATGGCTTGAAGGACCAATGGAAGGCACCATTTTTTAAAACAGTTCACCAGCCTGGCCAGCATGGTGAAACCCCATCTCTACTAAAACTACAAAAATCAGCCAGGCATGATGGTACATGCCTGTAATCCCAGCTACTCAGGAGGCTGAGGCATGAGAATCACTTGAACCTCGGTGGCAGAGGTTACAGTGAGTCGAGAACACACCACTGCACTCCAGTCTGGGTGACAGGTGGAGACTGTATCTCAGAAAAAACAAAAACAGAACAGTTCATAACCCCAGGGCTGGGCATGCATTTTCTCTCTGTGATCAACCCCTCTGTCTGGGTAGTGAACTGAAACTAAAGTCCTCAGACCAGCAAGGATGCTAGTTGTGCTAGGCTATTATTGCATTGCTATAAAGAAATTCCGGAGCCTAGGTAATTTATAAGAAATGAGGTTCAACTGGCTCATGGTTCTGCAGGAAGCACAGCACTGGTATCTGCTTCTGGGGGCAGCCTCAGGAGGCTTACAATCATGGTGGAAGGCTAAGTGGGATCAGGCACCTCACATGGAAAAAGCAGTAGAGAGAAAGAGAGGGAGACAGAGAGAGAGAGAGAGACAGAGAGAGAAAGTAGCAGGATGCTACACACTTTTAAATGACCAGGTCTCGTGAGAATTCCCTATCATGAAGATAGCACTGAGCTATGAGGATATACCCTCATGACCCAAACACCTCCCACCAGGCCCCACCTCCAGCACTAGGGATTACAATTCAACATGAGATTTGAGCAGGGACAAATATACAAACTATATCACTAGGTATCTCTGAGGGCCCCTCTGATGCTGACCAGAAGCCAGGATGTGTGCTACAAAGACCCAGGAAAGCCAGGGGGTGGTGCTGATAGAGCCAAATACCTCTCAGGATAACAAGGATAGGGTTTCCAGATTTGATATAATACAGAACAACTTCTTCCATTTCCAGCTTTTCCTCCACCAAATCAAAAGGCATCAAATTAATGAAGCTGTGGCTTGTTGACATTAAAGTTGATTACAAAAAGACATGTTTGAGTGACAGGTAAACAATAGCAAAGGAATGAGTTTCCATAAATACTTATTTATATATGAAGAGTATATGGTTTGTAGAATAAATAAACCTGTAGTCATTGTTTCTTATTTGAAGTTTGTAACCTGTCATCATAGGTTAAATAACTGTCAGGAAAGCTCATACTTGTGATATTTTAAATAGGAGCTGAAATTGGTGTTTCCCTAAGGTAAATGGATGTTTCTAAACATTGATAGTTCTTTCTTTTCTACAAAAAGGTATATGTAAATATACAAAATGAGAAGTCAAAATATGTATTCCATGCACAGAAAGAGATCAAGAGGTGGAATGGAGTTGGGGTGTGAACAGAGGAAGGTTGATTTATGTTATATGGTTGCTCTCTTTTTGTAGCTATTTTTATATCTTTTCAGCTTCCTCCAGATTACTCTAGTTTATTTCCTATTGTTTCTTACTATTGACTTTTAATTGTTCCCTGACAATAAACTGTTTTATTTAATCCATCTTTGAAAATTTCACATAACCATATTTAGGGACAAGGCTTTGAGCATCTTTTATTTCTTCCACTAACATATTGTACCCTAAATAAGTTTCCCTCCCAGGCTCATTTACTACCTCCATTTGCTTTGTATTTTTGTTGTTGTTGTCTCCCTATCTTCTTTGTCCTCTTCTGTAATCCATTCCTCTCTCTTTCTTTCTTTTTTTTTTTTTTAAGATAAGAGTGTTGCTCTGTCACCCAGGCTGAGTGAAGTGGCACGATCTCAGCTTACTGCAACCTCTGCCTCCTGAGTTCAAGTGATTCTCCTGCCTCAGCCCCCTAAGTAGCTAGGACTACAGGCACATACCGTCGCACCCAGCTAATTTTTGTATTTTTAATAGAGACAGGGTTCCATTTTGTTGGCCAGGCTGGTCTCAAACTCCTGACCTCAGGCGATCCATCCGCCTCAGCCTCCCAAAGCTCTCTATTTTTATAATAGTTATGTTGACTTGTTCTTCTGGCTGCAGCTGCAGCTTTTTCCAGTTGTCTCTTCCTGTTGTCACAATAAAAAAATCTCTTCTTTATTTCCTGTCTATATGTGTTTTGTTTTCATTTTTTTGCTTTCCACATTTATCCTTCCCATTCCTGTATCTTCATGAACTTGTAAATTCTTAGGAAAGCAAAAAAAATATAAAGCTTGAAAGTTTCAAAGTCAAAGGAAAAGAGAAAACTCAAGCTTGCCTCAGAAGAGATTGTGTCCCATTTCTGCAGTAGAGTTCATGGAATTTGTGCAAAAAGTGAGAAGATATAAGGGAAGCTGTGCTGGCTTGTGTGTCATTTAAATTAGAGAGCTTGGATGTTGATATTACACCACTGATAAAGGAAATGAGACAGTTTCCACTTTTAATGAAAAGAAGTGCAGTGGCAAAGTTGTCTCACACCACAAGATAAGCAAGATTCAAAGGAAGGGGACAGTCATTCTGGTGTTATCATTCCAATTCTATCCAGCTTATTTACATAGGCCTGAAAATGAGATGATCCCAGGATATCCATTTGATGTAAAAAAAAAAAAAAATCTTAACAGCCCCAAAAAGGGATAATTTAGTTGTGCTACACACATGGGTGCGTGCACACACACACACACACGCACACACACACACACACGCATCCCAAGAATGACACACCTATTGATGAGAGTTGAAAACCCATCAGATATCCAAATGAGTATGTATCTAGAGTTGTCTATACTATGCGTTATATGACTGAACCATTTTCAGATTTTTTTCTAGTTTTGGAAGATATCTGATGCCGTGTAGATACAGACACTATCTTGTGGGAAACCCATAGTTTCCAGTCTGAACATAACCAAATAAGGATCTCATTTCTCTCTGTCTCTGTCTGTCTCTCCTTCTTTCTCTCTCTGTTGCTCTCTCTCTCTCTCTCTCTCATCTTATAGCAGCAATGCCTAAAGAGAACATTTATACATTCTACCCAAATCCCCTTTACACACTGGCATATATCTTTAGTGTGCATATGTGTGTGTCTGTGTGCATGTGCAGTTGCACATTTTGTTAAGCAGAAAAGCTCTAGTGAAGTATCATCGCCTTTAGAAGGAAAGAAGGACTAATTTGATTTTTCTGATTCCAATACATGGTGCTATCAATGAGTGGAGATAGCACTGAGATAATATAGAACATGATAAACAGCCAGTGGAATGGCAGCATTCCATAATAATGCCAATGCTTGCTGTCCCATCACTCCCATTGCTCCGTGGGAAGGATCTCGTAACTGATAAACCAATAGTAGCAGGCATTTGGGATGTTTCCTGGAGAAGCAGAGGGAAGCCTCATTGGACATAGTTTCTTGCATTTTGCTGTAATTTATGGAACACGTGGATTTTTAAATCTACAGGTAATTACGTAAATAAAATATTGAATAAGACACAAACCTCTAGGTTCCCCCAATCTCTGTCGCAAGCCAACCAGCTGCCCTTCCCACTCTACTTCTTCTCCACACAAAGCACAGAACCGACCAACACTGGAAAAGAACTGTGTTATCACATTTTCTCATAGTTGGATGGCCATTCTGTTACTCTGATTTTGAGAAAATCAAAAGCATTACCTTTGAGGAACAATTAACATCTATTTCCAGTCCATTATTCCTTTTCAGGACAAAGGGCTGTATTTCACAGGCTTTTAAACAGGATATGAATATCCCATCAAATATCAGTGGTCTGAGCTACAGCTCTGGCACCAGGCACACTGCCAAAAATGTGACCAAGTTTAAAATGATTGATGCTAAATCACATTCCTCTTAAGCATAGTCTAGGCCGAGTGAGGCATACCTACTCATACACTCAGTCCTCCTATCTGGGAAATTCATGGTTCTCTCCCAACATGAGAATTATGGTTTTGTTCACAATGTGTGGAAACTAGAAAGGCACTGAACATCTGAGGTAAAATGGAAACAATTTAGTTCTGTTGAATGTCACCCTCTGTTGTTGATTCCACACATCTGTGCATCTTTTCCTTATCCAAAACTCATTTAAATGTGCTAGTTTCTCCTGGAGATGTGGCAGATAATGTCATGAGCCCTCACTGCATTCTTTTTTTTAATAGATGAGGGATTAAAATTTGCTGTACATAGAGTTACCTCTTGTTTGAAAGTCCACGTACAGTCAGATAACGTGTTTATGCTTTCCTTGTAACTAAAAACCAACTATTTTGGCTTGGAAATTCCCCACTTTCCAAAGACCATTGCTTCTTTGCCATGGTTAACCAGAACCTAGCTCACACATCCACTGGGAAGAAAATAAAGGCTCTAATGGCTGAATGTAGCCAATGCAGCACAGAAGCTCAGACCTCCTAGGGAAGCCTGAAAATGGTGATACCCTTCTCCATTTGCTGCTTGCTAATGAGGCCAAGGTGTGTCCCCCTGTAAATCCTGACAACCTAAGAGGGGTGTGCGATTCATCTCAGCTCCCTTCCCAGATGACAAGCAAGTTGTAAATTGTATTCCATTCCACTCTCCACTGTTTATCTGCCCTGACAGTCCACTGCAGCTCTTGTGTAGCTGGAAGCCCACAGGGCATGTGTGACTTTTCTCAAGCTCTTCCCAGCTGTCTTAAGTGTCTCTGTCCTTCTTGTATTTTTCTATCTGTTGCTTCTTTTTAGAGGTCCCTCTTCCTCTTTCCTTGATTTTCAGTTTTTCTCGCTATATGCATCTCTCTCTCTCTCCCTCAGATTGCCTGTGTCTTGCAGTTTTGTTACCTTACAAACTGCTACTTCGTTTTATCCCTGACTTTCTTTTCTTTGAAATACATTTTTCATCTTTCTTTTATAGTTTATTTGTATTTTTTCTGTTTGGTTTTTGGCAAAGGAGCTCAGCAACTGACCCAGTAAGCTAACACTTTCAGAAAATGTTGAGTGATGGAAAAGCAAATTTTTAAAAATCTCTATTACTTTCCTATCTTCTTTCTTACTTGCTGCTCATTCTAGATGTCCTCATGTCTATTTCATCGTCTGCTTTTATACTAAGCTTTCTCCTCTTAAGCATTGCTTTCCCTACACTTATCTGCTATTTCAGATCTTTAAATATCCTACAGTAGTCAGAATGGGACTGAGTACTGACCTGTGAGATGCTTACCACCAGAAATATTTTGCAAGTTCAGGCTTTTGAAAGAAACAACAGAACTATATATTATGTTTTATATGTCCATTCGGGAAACTTAAGACATATGGGGGCTTGGCAGAAACATCATCAACATTGGAGTAGTGCTCAGTCATTTCCACAGAGAACAGTCTTACAACCTATCACCGTCTTCTAGTAAATGGGTACCAATGCTGATGGAAAATAAATGGGAACAAGAAAGATTTAGGAAATGTTCCCAAGTCTTTTGAGGAAGACTGAATTAATAAAAACTGTGAGATTATTGGAGTAAGGTTGTCTATTCTTGTGTTCTAATATACCATTGAACCATGACCTTTCCAATGCACTACCTGTAAATATAAAGGTATATTTAATAGAAGAAATTTTTCTGATATTCAGGGCTTAAAGGCTCAAATTTGCCTTTAAAATTTTTTTCTCCCAATACTGGCAGGAACAACATTTTTAGATCTCATTCTTTACCTTAAAATATGATTTTCAGCCCAGAAAGCTTTACTCTAATCCAAAATAAAATTTCTGTGCTACAGAACACAGGAGCAAAGATTAGATTCAACTCATCTTTGGCAATCAATTCAGGGAGCTATTTTGCACTCCCTCCTTTTTCCATACCTGCCAACACACTTCCTATGGATGCTTTTCTTCTCTTAACTCTAGAGAAAAACTGGAGGTGAGAAAGTCTGTATTCAATGAATATGGTAGGTTTTATTAATGTAGTCACAGAGATGTTGCATAAATTAAAAAATAGTACATAGTTATCTTTGCATTATTTTTTTCCTTTTAAGATGACTTTGTGTATTTACCACTTAATTTTATAAAACCCTAAAGAACTTTTTAAAAATCGCATCAGATAAAATAAATATTCTTATCTAAATGGAGTTTTGGATCTTCTCCACTTGCCAATAATTATTTTAAAATGAATTTATGGTCTAGAAGTCTCAAAGACCTAGTTATTCTTGAATTTGTTGTTATTGACTAGAGTCAAATGCTAGTAGTTAAATATTTAGCAAATTCTTATGAAGCTAGAAAAGCCATGCATAAGCAGTAAAAACTGTAAGAGATTTCCCCTTGGGTTAAAGAATAAGAAAGTAAAAAGACCAGTTCACCTGAATCAGAACCCTGATGTCCAATGGCTCTTGCTGACACTCTACATGCTGACGGAAGTTTCTTGTTCCTTTTTTTCCAGTTCTTTTTGTCTCCCTATTTTTTCTCTGTATTGAAAATGATGCTCATTTTGCTTCTAAGTGATGAAGGAGAAAGAAATGCCTGTTTCACAGATCAAAAGCAGGCACTGCTTTAGAGCAACACTGGCTGAATGTCTTACATCATAACTCTCTCTGGCTTTATCCATCATCGCCAACATTTTCTCTTTTGCAGCTTTGAGGGTGATGGGGATAGGTCATATATTATTAGTGGAATACAAAGAAACACAAGGGTGTATAAGAAGCCCTGGTTTCAGAACCTCAGTGTGCCAATACCCAAACTAACCCATAGAGACTCGTAGTCTTCTAAGAGTATTTATTTACTTGCAAGTACTTATTGAGTTTCTATTATCTTACCTCTAGATTATTGAAACAGTCTCCTAATTAGTCTCTCAGCTTCTGTTCTAGCCCTTCTTCAGTCTATTCTCAACTCAGCAGTCAGAATGATCCTGTTACAAACTAAGTCATTCATTCAATCCTCTTCTCCAAGGCTCCTCAGTTCATGCAGAGTAAAAGCATAGGTCCTCATACATTGCCACACATGATCCTCCAGCATCTCTTGAACCCATCCTCATTTAGTCTCCTCTCACTTGCTCTACTATACCTCAAAGATTTCCTCCTTATTTTTCAAAGCCACCAGGTAAGCTCCCACCTCAGAGCCTCTGTGGCTGCCCTTCTCTCCACCGGTTTCTCCCCTCCTTCCCCTAGGCACAGTAAGACCTCTCCTGGAGTCCCTATCTAAAATTGCAGCCCCTCCCCCTATGTTCCCTGTCCCCTTTTCTTGCTTTCTTGTTCCCCTTAGCACTTACCAATATGTACCATACTATATATTTTTCTTATTTGTTTATTTTTTATGTTTCCAACTAAACTGTAACCTCCATGAAGGCAGGGATTGTTTGTTTGTTTGTTTCATTCTTATATCTAATGGTGCCTAGGAAAGTGTCTGGCATTAAGTAAACCCTAAATTAATATACTCTGGGTTAATGAACTGGTGAAGGAAATCCAATAGTTAATAAGACAGACATGGTCACTGCCCACAAAGCTATCACAATCAACTGGGAAAGACCATACGCATTTAAAGAAATAAACAATCATTTTAAACTTTGGCAGGTACTATAAACAATGAACAAGATACTGAGGCAGAGGATAGCAGGAAAGCCGATGTAGCTTAGACTCAATGGTCAGGAAAGGCCCTCCTCTGGGTAAGATTTGAAGGATGAGATAAAACTGAACATGAGATGGTGTTGGGATGGGGGCAGTGAGCAATCAAAGAACCGTCGGAATAGAGGGCACAGCAAGTGAAAAGACCTTGGTGTCCTGAGATAGAGAAAACCTTGCTGTATTGAAAGAATGAAAAAGACTTGTGAGGCTGGATCTAAGTTGTCCGAAGAGGAATAACATCATTGTTCACATGTATGGGGCTATACTAAGATGCCAGACACTGTTCTGAGAGCTATTTCTAGATCTGCTCATTAACTCTCCTGATAATCCTATGCAGTGGATAGTATCACATTATCCATTTTATAGGAGGAAACAGGGTACATGGCTTGTAAGTGGTGGGGCTGGAGTTCCAGAAATATTCCATGCATAAGCACAGAGTGCTTAAACACACTTCCTTGGATCCCCGACACACCCACTTAAGTGTAGAATTGAAGCGTAGAATGGGTGTGTTGAGGATCCAAGGAAGTGTGTTTAAGCGCTATGTGCTTATGCATAGGATATTTAAAGATCAGGCAATATAGTTGCCAGAATTTATAGTCCATAGTCCTTTCACCTGTGAAAAAAAAAAATGAAGTGAGGAGAGCAATATATTATCTTGACCTCACAGGGAGGAAGATTGGCGGTACAACTTTTACACAATTACAGAGACAAACAAGTGCAGTGCAAGAATGAAAACCTATCTTGCCTTAGACTCCACAGGTTATCTGCCCTGGATCAATCAGGGATGCCCCTGCACACTCACAGGCCAGGGTCCGCATGCTCTGGATGCAGGGGGCTGTGTGCACACAGGCACACACGTATCTTATTCTCAGCCACTTCCTTGAAATAACCAGGAATACAATCCAAAAGGAGTGCTTTGTGTTTCTGAGAACCCTCAAAGAAGCTTTGAAAGACTTGAAGAGAAATGATCTTAACAAAAGAACAAAAAAAAAAAAAAAAGAAAGAAACTTGAAAGTGAACAGAAGTTCTGAAGTGTGTGGGGGTGGAAGAAGCTTTCTTGGAGAGGAACAGTAAGGAGATAGCTAACTCAAAGCGACCAGAATAGCTTAGCGAGCTGAGAATTGAGAATTTTGTGACTCGGTGGTTCTGCTCCATAGGGACACTGCCGGCTCCCGGGGAGAATGCATCTTACTCTGCCCCCTAGGCAGGTCCAGTTTCTGGACTTCCCTGGCCACACAGCTGGAGATTTCCACATCATATATTCTGCTTGTCTTAGAAAACTGAAGGACTGATTTTCTGGGCCTTCTGACTGACCAGAGAGCGTTCTTTGTGAGAGACACAATAGCTATCTATTCCTTTGTGCAGTGTGCTTTGCCAAGTTCCATGAGGGCAGCGGTCCCTGCTATCTTTGTGTAATTCTGGGCAGTCTGAGTCCCACAAATTGGATTTACACAGCACCTGCGAGTTCTCACACAAGCCCCCTTGTTGGTAATATCATTTGGCATATGTAGCAAGCATTCATTTTTATCATAGTGTTAATTGTTAGCCATGGCAGTAACAAGCCAGAAAAAAGCACAGGCAGAAAAAAAGCCACGTCTGCTCAATTAAAAGGGGTAAATGGCTTGGCGGCACGGCAGGGTGCTGCGGACACAAAGAGCAGGTAAAGGAAGTGACCTGTGGTGTTGAAGTTTATTTGTTTGAACAGCTGAGAATTATCTCCTGACCTAAGTCACCTCCATAACAGGTGGCCCTTTCTGTCTGAGTCCCACAGCACTTGGCTTGAGAGAGTGTCCAATCTCATTCATGTGGAAAAGATCAACTCTTTTTTCCCCCTGTAAGGAAAAAAAAAAAGGAATGTGACTGGCTGTTCAATTGTAATCATTTCTTTGAGTGCCTCTGTGTGGAAAGGATGCTGCCTCACCTATTCCTCAGTTTCCACATCTGTAAAATATGGAAACTACTACTTGCTCTATTTCCCTTCGAGGGCTTTTTGGGAAATCCATACAGTAACAAAAAAAAAAAAAAAAAAAAAAAAGACAACACATTACCAATGCTAAGTGCAAAGTCACAAAGTCATGTTACAAATGTCTACAGGAGCAAAACTACAGTCAAGAACAATGTCATAAGATATTTTAAAATTCATGGCTGTGGATTATTTGTTGAGCACTTGTTTTGCTGTAGCTCCTGGTGACTGGGGGATACACACTCCTTGTGAAGGGCTCTAGGTGTGGCATAGACAGATACCTCTGCTTCCATAGCAGCCTTCTTCTGAACCCCATGCTATTACCTGCTGGACAGTCAGCAGTGGGGCACCATCACTGTGGCAGGTGAAGCACTCTACCCCAAAGAGAGAGAAAAGCTGCCTTTCATTGCAAGCCTCCTCTCCAGACACACTCTGGAGTCACAGCAGTTTTTGTCTGTGTGGCCTTGTCCTAAAATTGCTGGCTGTTCTCCTCATCTTCCTTTCTCTTGGATCAGAGTTAGCACTGGGAGAACCCTACAGGGTGATTGTCAGACCACAGGCATGTTCTGGCTCTGTGGTCTGATAGGCTGTCTGTGGGCCTTCTCTGTGTACCCAAGCCATCTCTGATTACACACAGAGTGCCAGAGAAAAACAAAACACTTTCAGTTTAGGCAAAGTTGAGAAACCCATCAAAATAAACACTGTTGATGGTCACAGATTTAAAAAAGAATATGTAGAGAGATAATAGGTAAAATGCATTGACAGTCACAGACATAGGCTGCGTGGCTGGCTGCCCCTACTGCTTAAAGCACTGTGTGTCCGGAGATCTAAGTGTCATTAGTGGTATTTACGAATCCATCAAATGTGCAGATTTTTACTTTGCAGATCAAGTAAAATAAGGAGAGAGGACGAGAGGCATGCTGAGACTCCATGCTGCTTGAAGAGAAAAACCCTCATTTGTATTCCTAAGCCCTTTGCCATGAACTGCTGATGTCCCCAAACAAAAAGAAAGCTCGTGGTTTCTGTTCTGGTAAATTAAAAAGCCCTTTAGCTTAACAGCAAAGCATCTGTCTACCTTGTTATACATATGGCATCTAATCAGAATGCAGGAGGTCAGGGCAGAGGGGAGTAAAGAAAGTGAAGATATTGGGGTAGAAAGCTAAGGAAAGTATTAAACCTAAGATTTGGGGAGTAAATTAGTAAGGAAATGAATTTTACAAAAGAAAGAGGAGAATAGCAAATGAGAATCAGGGAAGGTAACAAAAAGATAACATCCAAAAGAGGAGCAAGAAAGAATAAACGGGAAAGGTGTGTAAAACTGAAATGAAGTTGGTTGACGATGGGAAAAAGAGAAGGATCGTCCAGCAGCAGATAAAGAGCAGCTGGGGAGAACGTAACAGATTCTGATCGATCGTGATGTCTGGATGAGCTCAGTTTCAGGGCTGTGATAATCTTTACAATGGACTGAGCTTTGCTCTCGGGGTTTATGATCCTGGAAGAACCACTTGATTGACTCATGATTCTCCAATTGATCACTTCATATCAGCAATCTTTGCTTCTATGACTCATCACCACTCAGAACCTCTCACAAAGAAGCTGTTGTGTCTTGAGAACTTTGGTGATATTAATTATTTTTTAAAGAGTATATTAAAACTTAGATAGCCCCTGTTGACATTCCACAAGGAGAAAAATGCCCTAAATACCAATAGCTGCCTGTGATATCCTGTGATAGAAAAGTAATAAAACAAAGTAAAAATTAGGAGGCATGCTAGACTGTGCTTCTATTTCCTTGCTGAACTAAGTCGCAGCTTTGTTAAGAATTATATAGCAGTTGGCATGTCCAGTTGATATTTACTTGCAAAATCATCATTGGCTCTTATACAGCTCATTCTTGACTCTGATACGCCAACGTTCCAATCTACATAAAGGTCTTTGGGGTAGTATGACATGCAGTGATTCTGAGTATGCTTTAGAAGTCTTTAGGCAGTATAGACCTGACTTCAATCTAGCTAGAAAGGTGGAAGACAAAACTCTTTTTCAGCTGAGGCTCTTTCTCAGAACAGAGGCCTTTCCTCCTCTTCCTACACACAAAAAAATACTCAGCCTGGGTAGGAGGAGCTGGCTCTAGCCCAATAGAGCAGATTATTTACCAGTTTCAATTATCTGCACTAATGCTCCCCTTCATTGGTGAGGGTAATTGAGAGTTGAATGTATTTACAAGGACAGGGCTATAAAGCTGAAACAATTTTACAAGGTGTGGTGCAGAAATGAAAAGGTAGAAAAAGAGCTGGTCTAGACAATGCTTTTTGAAAACATATTTCACATAACTCTAGCAAGATTGCTAGGTCCTGAGGGGAGGATGGGTATTTCAGAAGAGCTATTAGAAGTGCTATTAGGTTTTAGGAGATTTTTGTGGAGTTATTGGACATTTCATATTTTAAGTTAGGATGAGGGTATTATCTCTGAATCCAATTCCTTTCTCTCCTTTTATTTCCAAACCCACTCTGGTCTTCATCCTGCTGTGGTGTGCTTGTTCCCAGGAGCAATCTAGCATCCCAGTGGAAAGTGGCCGACCTAAATGTGGCTCTCCAAAGACAAAAAATTTATTCTGGGTATTGTATGATGACCCAGATACAGTATGATATAAAATAGAATATATTACTGTGGGTCTGATAATGTCGATTTCAAGTTTCCTAACCTAGTATCTACTTATAGTATTATTATTTTTAGGTCCGGCTTCTCCCTTTACAAGGAGTAATGACTATGTGTGGCCAACATATTTGGCTTTATTACTTTAACTCTCAATATTCTGATTTCTCTTTAGATCATATAAATCTTTTGCCTTTCTCATTAACTCTCAAAATGAGAAGCCAAAAAGTTTTGTTGCTGTTATAGTTTGATTTTTTAAAGTATACAAATGACATCTGCTTTCAAAAATATTGAAACCACTGGGTTTATAACTTCTTGAAATACCAGTTAGTTTGGTGATAAAAGTTAAACGAGACAAGCATGAACTTATCGAAATTACAACTCCTTATTTGCAGCAGGATAGTTTTTGATGATAATGTCCACTGATAACAATGATGAAATAAACTACATGCATTTCCCCTCAAGGCCTCTGCACATGCTCTGGGGCCTCTCCTCTGTGTGTGGCTGGCTCCTCTCATGCTCTGGATCTCACCTTGAAGTCACCTCTTCAGGGAAGCCTTCTTTGACTCTCCTGCCTAAATGACATTATTCTCTACCTCAGCACTCAGCCTGTCCTTTATAGTACTTGCCACTGTTTCTAGTTGTTTTATTTATTTGCTGATTTAAAATGAGTCGATCTCATGACTACACTGTAAATTACCTAAGTTGAGGAGATCATGTTTCTCACGTTCACTTTTTCATCCTAGTGCTAGCAATGACCTGACATGCCACATAGTAGATGTACAACTAACATCTACTTAAGTGAATGCACCAATGAATGATGCCTGGGTTATCAATGTGATGTACACCTCTTCATTCACTATTACCTGCTCTGAATCCCATAAGTAATTAGAGGTTACTAGGTTTTTATCAGAGAAAAGAGAAAACTCTTAACTTTCATAAACACTTGAAATATTTCTTTTCCTTTGGTACTACTGCTGATAATACCTATGACTGCTGAGTGGTTGGTGTTTTCCAGGCAACTTGCTTTATGAGCATTCCTCTATTTAATATTCGCAACAAACCTATAACGGGTACTTTTATTATCCCACTTTACAGGTAAAGACACAGAGAGTTGGCGAGGTTAATGAATTTGCCCATATAGGCTATTAATCAAGGACAGACTGTAATTTAAACTCAAGCCTATCTGGTGCCAAAGCTCACTGTCTTACCCATTGCTATCTATGGTAAATTAAAAATTTAGTGTTGTAACTATCTAATTATATGTATCATACATATTTACTACTAGATATAAAGTATTATCAGAAAAAAAGGGCTTATTCCTTCTCATTTTTTATCTTCCCATTCCTCCCCACATTTTTATTAATCTATTAACATATGTATTTAATTCTTATAGAACCTAGTATAGTAATCTGCTATGTGAATGCTCATCAATAAATGGTTCTTTGAGTGAGACCTCCAAAGCAGCATATGACATGGTACATGTTAACCTTTAGGTGAGGAAAAAAGCCAAATTCCCTAATTTATCTTGCTGCTAACGGCAAGGTTGAACACCACCACAGAGTATGTATATAAAGAGGTGCAGTTAGCTGACGCCCTCCTCTGTTCCCAAAAATGTTTAGGTAAGTTTTTATCCGGGAATAGTAAAAGCTCCAAAAATAAGAAAAATCATCCTGGAAACTATATTTATTATTTATTTATTTTAAAATTAAGTAAAATTAATTAAATGTGAACCCATTCACGGACCCTAAGGAAAACAAGATAACATTTTTGGGGGGCATTAGGTTTTCACTGGGAATTCTTCTCAAGGGCCCTGTAGCTCTAAACAGTATCGTTAATAACTCCATTGGATCTCATGGCACACTCCCTCACAATTTCATCTGCCAAATACATAAAATTTTTGACAAGTTAAAGTATATTTCCTCACCTAGAATATAGAAATTGAAATATTTGCTGACCATCAAGCTCTCAGAAATTTAACAAGAGTCCTCATGTCCTGGATTTCTTTGTAGTATGTCTCATGCACAGCACGCAATAAGGCTCTGTACACAATCAGGCAGAGGAAATGTTTGCTGAATGGAATTTCTGTAAGGAGGGATTCATGTCATAGCAGGATTTCCACTGCAAGCCTATTTTAAGACAGAAAATATTTATCCTGTCTAATCAACCAAAAGATCAGGGTCTGAATGTTTTTTAAATCTACACCTATTTCTACTAGGAGGCACCATAGAGCATTTGTCAAATCTTCTTTTACTTTGCTTGGGTTTATTAACACAAGCAAAATAAAAGAAGATTTGACAAATGCTATATGGTGAAATCTAACCAAATAGTCCAACAGAATAATGGGGCCTGAAAATTCTCTTTTGCACAATAGTCTAATTTTTGCCCAAATTACCGATTTTTGCTCTGAATAGTACACATTAAATGACTAGAAGAAACAGTTTGAAGACATATAACTGTCCTACTGTTCAAATTAACTGCTGATACAGTCATTGCAATAATTGCTCCCATTCTGAAAGTGTCTCTGCAAACATTCTTACCACAAAAAAGACATTTTAAGAAAAAAATACACTAAAATATTCTCAATACAAATATGTATGTGTGTACATTCTTAAATATTACAGAATGGTACTGCATTCTTACCCAAATGATACTATTACTTATCTAAGGAACAGGGTGATATAATACATAAGGTTAATTGTGAAATAATTATGATTCATACAGTGATCTGGACAGTTCAAAACAATGGCTTAATATTTTCCTGTGAAGTAACTTTTAAATAATGAAGTTATTAATATTTACTTGATTTCTGGCCTGCATTTGCCAAAAAAAAATTTAAAACTTAATTTTTAAGAGGAGATGTTGCAATAAACTGAAAGATAAAATCTTTTCAAAGGGAGAAGTGATCGTGTTTCATAGTTTTTCAATAGTATAAGTTAACAAACTAACTAAAACTTAAGCTTATAAACAGGATGGCAGTGAGCTACCAAATATAAAAATGTAGTTATCCTGCACTGAAAGGGTTATTTCTTATATTACTTAATTGTTTTGAGCTTACTGTTTCTTACCTAAAAGTTTTGTTTATTTATGTACTCAATACTGAATCAGATCTCCTTCCACACTTCAGTGATCAGGCCATTTACAACTGAAATATTTTTATGCATATGGACTCGAAGAGGCAGTTACTGAAAACGCATACTTTCCTGGCAAGAAATAATGCAATAACTGTTGAAAATAATGCTGGCAACTAGTGTTTTCCTTTGCTGCTAAATGGCATGACCAGTGTCATAGGAGAAGATAAATAGTGTGTGCTCATTCACTTGACATTTTTAGCACCTGCTCTGATCTAAACTGGGTGCCCTATCTGGGGATTTCATTTTGCTAATGTCTGCATTAATCAACACAGTCTCACACACACAGGCACACAGGTACACCACAAAAAAAAGGAAGAGAGCTCTGGAAGTAGAGCTAAAATGAATTATTTGGGGACAAACATATTTCTAACTTCAGAAACTCTGTCTTTCTTTTGAAATGTCCAAAGCGAATGGTATATTGATTTTTGCAGCACACTCTGCACTTTTCACTGATTGGTATCAGGATTGTGAAGGCATCCATTAAGTGAGCTCAAAATGCTCTCCTAGTATAAACAAAATCCACAGTTTTAATCAAATTTAATGTACTCTGACCTATATGTGTTTTGTGAAAGTCAGAGTGGACTATGGCAACAGAATTGAAAGCATATATTACAAAGTCCTTCACCTTTCAGATCTCCTGAAAGGAAGGATTGTCAGAGGTATTGTCTATGTATTCTTTTAAGTCACCTCTGAGGAGGCAGCAGGGGCATGGGGAATGAGATTTGCATTTCAGAGCTGGAGCCAACGTCAGGTTATGGAGATATGATGAATTAAAATACATCTGCATCTGAAGGACAATGAGATCCTGTGGCCCAGGGCTTCATTTCTTAGTGTAAGAAGAGCAAGAGTTTCAGGTATTCACATCTCAAGGTCCCATCTCAGAAGGTTCCCAGCAATGAGGTAAAATGCTGCCTGAATACTGATAAATTCTCCTTGTCCAAAAGTGACCAAGATCTTATTCCTAACACAAATATTGTTAATGGCACTCAAGCAGTATTGCTTGTTTGTTTCTCAAATTCACGGAGTGCTAAGGCTCTGGCAGTTTTACTGAACACACTTTACTAGTAAACTTAATACTGTTAGAGAATGTTTCAGTGTAATTACTTTTAGTTCATTTATGAAAAATAAATGTATTTTAGTACACAACCATTAACTTTCCCTAGAACTTTTACTGATAATAATGTCTACTGCCATAGACAAGAAAAGGGTCAAATATTGTCAACAGGATTACATAGGGAGAATCAGTGAAAAGAATAGTAAGTATTCAGGTAAGAGGAAGGAATTTTGGAGTTAATTCAAGAATGATGGGGATATGGCACAGGATCAGGGGAAAGAAACTTTTTGTTTTGTTTTTTGAGAGAGAGTCTCATTCTTGTTGCCTAGGCTGGAGTGCAGTGGCACGATCTTGGCTCACTGCACCTCCACCTCCTGTGTTCAAATGATTCTCCTGCCTCAGCCTCCCAAGTAACTGGGATTACAGGCACCTACCACCATGTCTGGCTAATTTTTGTATTTTTAGGAGGGACGGGGTTTCACCATGTTGGCCAAGCTGATCTCGAACTCCTGACCTCAGGTGATCTGCCCACTTCAGCCTCCCAAAGTGCTGGGATTACAGGCGTGAGCCACTGCTCCTGGCCTATATATTAACCTTTTATGTAACCCAAGGCAACACATGCAAACTCACATTATTCTCAGTTTTCTTATCTATTAAACTTGGATGATTATATATCTGTTCAACAGTTACCATGAGAAGTTTGTTAATAATTATTTTTATGATGATGTTTCCTGTTATCTATACAAAATTTTAAGGTACTCAAAATATTTTCTCTTATTAGCACTATGCTAACCCTATGATCTAGTAAATACTGGGGAGAATAGTGTTCCCAGAAGACACCCCTTTCCTCTAGAAACTGTTAGACAGTCATGCAGTACTTGTGAAGGAACAGAGTAGACAACCAGGTTTGGTATCCTAAAATCACATTGGCTTACAGCTATTCATATGTCATGATAATCTCTTAGTTGGAGAAGGAAAATAAAATGAGAAACAGTTTCTTCTTCCTGTTTCAAGGGGAACACAATAGTCTTATCTTTACATTCAGCTACCTTGGGTATAAGTATCAGCTTTTCGTATTTTGCCTTTACTTTTCCGCCCATGCAGATTAATGTTGAGATATTCTTAACCTAACACACACATGCACGCACACAAACACACCAACACGCATATTGCACTCATCCATACAAACGTTTGGGCTTATCAAGGTCAATTTAAGTTTTTTTAAAAATGTCATAATATTTATGTTATCTGTATTTTTATGTGTCTGTCTTTCTCCCCCTTTGGAATGTAAGCTTGACAAAGGCATTGGTGAGATCTGAATTTGTCCATTCCCTTTTATATAACTATTTCATTTCATGTATATTTTTATTCTCAATTAACATACTTGGCTTCTTATAGATATCTCTATGAATGTCCATCTGACCCTTTCATTTTTAGATTCTTCAGAGCAGAGATTATACCTTTTTCAATTATTCAATCTGAAAACCAAGAACAGTATCTTATATATAATGTACACATAATAAACATGTCTATGATTGAATTCTATATATTGAATCACTACATAATAACTGATTCTTTGCACAGTGATTTGCATACACAATAAGGATATAATGATTATATTTACCTGCCTAGACTTTACAGTACCAAACTTGAGGTATAGATGGCAGTGCTGGGCACACACTGGTTAAATGTGTTGATGAGAACCCTAGCTCAAGAAAGCCATTGTTCCCTTTATCTTTCTGCCTGGTCAAACAACTTTTGCAAAATCTGGCCCTGAGCTCTCCCTGGCTTTCATTTAGAGGTAAAATCAAACACTTTGTTCAAGATTTTCTAGGATAATTTTCATTTTTAAGGTGAAGATATTGAGACACATTCGTTCTTTCAAGACAAAGTTATTGACAGACATTCCCAGTGAGACCAAGCCGACTAGCAGGGTTGTACCCATACAAATCCTCCTTCCTTTATCCTCCTCTCCTTAAGCCCACTTTCATCCACAGACCACAGATACAAGGACTAAGACGAGGGAAGGAAAGGGCTGATAAATCACAGAACAAATGGTATACAATGAATGGAAATAAAATGCTGATTTCCTAATGAGAAACATATGGTTATGACTACGTAATAAACATCAGAAAATGCTCTTTCATGGCTCCCAATAGTCATAAAGTTTCTGGAATAAAGAGGAAGGAAAGATGCAATTTAATCCTATAACCTAAATGTCTGAGGATCTACCTTTCTCAATGGGGCTGTCTTGTTAATGAACTAGACCAGGTTTCTTTGTGTAGCTTTCACCTGATTCTACGTAAGGCTTTCTGCCAATTGCTAAACATAGGCCGCTGAAAGATGAATAAGGAGGGAATCATCAGCTGTTCCACCAGGTCAGAAGCATGATCTTTAACTAAAGGGCCAGATGGCTTTTATAAATTAAGCACAAAAATCTCTCATTTATGCCTTTTTAAAGTAAAGAGGTTAGGAGTTATGTCTTATACTTCTTTTTAATTTTTAACTCTATTATATCCCTTGCACCAATGATTGAGAGTTATTCAGTTATAATAAATTATATACTTATCTTTAGTTAGGCTATCAGACTCTGTTTATACAGTAGTGACAGGTGTTAAGGTCCAGAGAAAAAATTTAGGGTTCTGGAGCCTAGGGTTTGCCTACACATTGGGCTCCTTCTTCATTGGTTCACATATGCTCCTGTCTACGGCTTATTATTTGGTATGACTCTAAAACTCATTCCTTGTACTCACATACCATGTTTACTTTACAGAAAAAAATGTTAGGACTTAATACACATGGGCCCTATGAAGATGAAAAAGCTGCTTTTAAATGTTTGTTGTTGTTTCTATGAAAACTACCACGCTGTTATGTTCTAGTTCACATATAAAGAGTTCATTCTGTTTAAATAAGTGGAACAACTCACATTTATATTCCACACTCAGGACCCATATGCTTGGCCTTGTGCTGGTAACTAGGAATATAAGATAACAAGACAATTCCCTTGCTTTCAAGGAAATCACACTTTATAAAACTTTGAATTCTTGAAATGGGTTTCAGAGGTTCCAAGGTCAAATTCAAGAATAAGAGTTTAAGAAGAAAAAGACTATGAGAAAGGAAGTGTTGACCCCATTTGCATTTAAATAGCAGGAATAGTCTCAATCTACTCATTGGGGAAAAATGTATGTTGCATATTTTTGAGATATTGCAACTTGCTCTCTCTCTTTGCCACCCCACCCTTTGTCATGCTCTGTTTTTGTGTTGAATTGGCAAGAAAAATGGCTGGAGGGCTGGAAGAAGTTGGACCCTTCTTCCTTCTTCCTTCTTCCTTCTTTCTTCTTCTTCTTCTTCTTCTTCTTCTTCTTCTTCTTCTTCTTCTTCTTCTTCTTCTTCTTCTTCTTCCTCCTCTTCCTCTTCTTCCTCTTCCTCTTCCTCTTCCTCTTCTTCTTCTTTCTTCGGGGGCATTGGGAGCTTAGGAGGTTTGGGTGGTAAAGAAAGGGTTAAATCCTGGGGATGTGGGTAAAGGGTGCACTGGAGCTGCCTTGGGGAAAAATGTGGTCTCCCACTTTCCATGGACACTTTGTTCATAGAAAGGACAACTGCTAGGAATGAACAAAAATGAACAATTAGATTCATTGTACACCTTCTAGTACATTTGAGGCTCTGTGATCCCAGATGCTTACATCATTTAATCCTCATAATGACCATATGATAGATCCATTTTACAAATGGGGAAATTGAAGTTTATCCTGGAAATTTGTTGAGATTAATCTCTATTTGATTACAAAATTTATCTTCTTCTTGCAGTTTTGGTGACTTGGAAATCACCCCATTATCTTGAAAAATAACCCAGATATTTAACGTATTCTATAAATCCCTGGAAAATACAAAAGAGTTGCCCAATGTAGTGCATACTCTCTGGTATCATGAGATACTGACAGTTCAAACATGGTAAGCTAGCCTAATTAGGAAACTCTCCTTAAATAGGTGACCAGGGTTTTCTTCTAAAGGAAGAACACCATGTCAACATTAAGGAGTTCAATATTTGCTGATGAATGCAGTAATCCAAAGCAACAAAAAGTTCCTGTGGAAGAAAAATATACAGTTTGAATGGGTCTCAAAAATGTGAAAATGGAACACTGGGATATTTTTAAGGAAATTTTCTTTCAACATAGTGCACCCATGAGAGTGATTCATTGTCATCTGGAATCAAGGATGAACGCAAACTTGCCCTTTCACTGAATTAGTCTGACATACATCTACAAAGAGTTCAAGCCCTCCTCTGGGTTATGGTGGAGCAGCCACCCTCAGAGGAAATTCTCAAGGCTGTTTGTAATTGCAAAGGTCCTGCTGTGGGACTGGAAGGATACCACTGAAGGCAAGCCTCAGCAGGGCTTTGGGAGGCATTCTTCTGTGGTATATACAAGCTGCTCTCCAGGGTCTATGAGAAACAAAGCCCAGGGATTGAAGCTCTAGGAGCTGAAAGGGAGTTCATTCTTTGTGCAGTTACCTTAGGTAAAAACAATAGTTCCTTCTCTTTTCCACTGTTCCCATGAAGCTGTTAAGCTAAATGTCCACAGAGGGATACAAGTTTGTATCCTACTCCGTGCTCTGTGTATTCATAAATGATTAGATGGCATCACCAATGTCCTTCCAGCTCATCAGCCTTTCCAAAATAGTCCTGAGGAGCATAGGAGAAGAAATAGAGACAAAAATTTGGATCCTCAGGTCTACAACCTGGCTGGGCCAGGATGTCTTTTCAGGGATCATTAGTTAGAATACACAGTTATACATTTGCATAATTCTGAGATGAGAAAGACTTTCCTCAGAATGACACCAAGGTCGAAAAATAAGATTAGAAAACAAGATTAGGAAAAATGGAAAAGAATAAAACATTTAAAACATAAATATGTAAGCTTTCATAATAGTAAAATATAAATAACAAATTGGGAAAAGCAGTCATATGAACAGACTTTATAAGAAAAATATGTACTGCTAAAGCAAATTAAAAGTAAAATATACAAATTGGAATAAGTTGACTATTTTTCTCATTAAATCTTAATGATAAAAGCAAATGATTTTCCTTATGTTGATAAAGGTTTTGCCAGAACTGTAAATTGGTACAAGTTTCCTGAGGCAGATGTGGTAATACTTATCAAAAGTTTCAAAAATAGGTGTAACATTTGGGTGAAGTAATTTCTATTTCTAAAAAATTATAATAAAGAAGCAATTAAGAATGTTCACAAAGAATTAGTTGTGAGAATGTTCTTTGTACTGTTGTTTATAATGTAGTGGGGGCAGAAAGTGAACCTAAATGTCAAACAATAGAATTTGAGTAAATAAGTTTTGTTTTGTTCTAAGAGATGGAGTCTCACTGAAGTGCAATAGCATGATCATAGCTCACTGCAGCCTTGAACTCTTGAGCTCAAGTGATCCTCCCACCTGAGTCTCCCCAGTAGCTGGCATTACAGGTGCATGCCTGGTTAAATACATTTTTTTCAGGTCCCTGTAAAGTCTGGGATGATTAAATACATTTTACAGACATCTTTACAACAGCATACTCTGGAGCTATTAAAAGACAGTGCTGTAGATGTATATCTATTCACATACAATTGTTATGTTAATTACATAATATTAAATGAAAAAACCCATTTGCAAAATTCTGTATATGGCAATTTAGTTTATGAATATGTACTAAACATGAAAAAATACACACCATAATTTTCACACTAGCTGTCTATGGCTCGTGGAATCAGAGCCATTATTTTTGGGAAGGGGAGTTCTCTTTTTATTCAAATGCATTTCCTAATATTTCTTTAACATGTATATATTACTTATTTTTTTTAAAATATTGAAAGTAAAATTCTTTAGGATTTAGTCTGGAAAGAAAATCCACAACAGTGAAATTTTTTTTTCCCCTGCTGGCCTTATAGAAGCATAAGTCTTTATGTGCTTCTGCAGAGGAAAAAAAAACAGAAGCAAAGTCTAACTTCTAGCAGCTCTAATTAGAATGAATAAAACCCTACAGTTGAAGCATAACCAGGTCACAGATTTGACATCTTATAAAGAGCAGGCACTTTAGAGACATAATGTCCTGGGTCTAGCCTCTGTGCCTTGCTTATATGAAAACTTGAAAAAGTAACAGAAATTCTCTGAGGCTTATTTTCTACAAATGTGATAAGAAGATAATAACGCTTATGGCACAGGGCAGTGAGAATTAAATGGTAATGTGTTAGGAAACATCTGTTATGTAGTAGGTGCTCAAAACAGTTTTAGCTTCCTTCCCTTTTTCCCTTGCAGTCTTGTTTAAGGTATCAAAATTAGAGCAGAACATTGCCACTGCCATGTGGGCGGGGGGAGACTGATTCCTCGTGGACTGAGGGAGGTTCTACTAAGGAGTGGGGTGAGTGCTGTGAGGCCCAGGACAAAGATCTGTCTCGCTGCAACCCTCCCCTCCCCCAGCACACCAATTCCTGTATCAGCATTTGCTAGGTTGCTCTAATTTTCCTTTTTATATGTTCTTTTCTGTCTGATGTCCTTGAATGTTGGGAGACAGAAATTGCCCTGGGACTTCTATGTAATGAAAAGAGAGTAACAGTGAGGATGCTGATGCTGGATGGAGCTTGGGATGGCCATAGGCTAAGAATCCTAGAAGAGCCTAGACAAAGAATCCTTGGAAATTTCGTATAATATGCAAGGTTCAGGGAAGCACCAGTAAATATTAACTTCCAATCCTCTCTCTCTCTCTCTCTTTCTCTCTCAGCTTGTTTTCCTCTTCTTTTTCTTTATATTTTCTTCCCCCTCCCCTTTTTCTCCTTTCCCTTCTCCTTCTTCCTCTTCTCCTTCTCCTTCTTCTCCTTCTTCATCCTCTTTTCCTCTTCCTTCTCTCTTTCCCTCTTCTCTCCCTTCTCCTCTCCTCCTCCTCATGCTCCTTCATATTCTTCTTCAATATAGGGGGTAATTTTATTTGGATAAAAGAAAATTATCAGATTATTCTATACTTAGGGCCTACTGTCATCTTCCCAAACTCTGCTAGGCAACATTCTCTACAACAATCGCTTGTCTCATACTTCTTGCTTTACTTAGAAAACACATTCATTTCCCAAAGGCTAATTAAAGAAATATAAAAGTTAGAGTTACAGTTTGTATATTCTCATTAGCAAATCACCAACCCAGGGGACAAGAACAAGTTAGGAGCATCTCTACCAAAAATCTAAGGAATTGCAATCCATGTAAAGACACTACGTTAAGTGTTGCGTGTGTTACCTTCTTTACAAATTAGAGTCCTCACTGCTGGATTGAGGCTGGCCTAATGAAGTTGTAAAATGAAGATATATTAATTCTTTACCTGGTGCTTTTATTAAGGAAAGTTATCTAAATCATTTAATGAAAATCAACTAAATGTATTACCTCCTACATTAGGAATACAGTGACACAGAAGAAGAAAAACAACTCTTGGATAATGACTCTGGGCAGAAAAGGGAGATGAGATTGCAAACAAAATATCCCAAAATAGGTTTGGAGAGAAAATGAGAAAGAAAGAGTCTTGGTGATTGAAGGGAATTAGAAATGATAGAAGAAGGGGAGATACATAGCTCTCTCTTGGTTGATTATCTTGCACTGAGGAATTTCTATGAGAACGGATCTAGGGAAGTACAACTTAGTCCAGGTTAGATGACTTTCAGAGGCAATTTCTGCATAGAACTAGATTCCTCAGTATTCAGAAGAAGTATGGTAGAAGTTTGCCCGGATGGCACAAACTGGAATGCCTGTATGAGCTGATTTACCCTGACTGACGTTCAGATTGACTGATCGGTAGGATTTTGCTGTTATTCACCCACATCTCCAGTTTGTACTAGCCTAGAAACCTTCTATTTGATGACTTATTTGTCCCATTTTGTCTCAAATACATAGAAGGGGCGAAAAACATTATTCTAGTGGGAGGTTTCTGTCACTTTTGTTCATTCTGAATTTGTACAGAAGGTAACACACACAACACTTAGGTGGCATCTATATGGTTGTTATTTCATTAGATTTCTAGTAGAGATGCCTCTGACCTGTTCCTGTTCCCTGCCAAACCAATTCTGAGAGCCTGATTAAGGCAACAGGGTCTTGAGGTCAAGATTCCACAAGCCACCGTTGACTAATTAAATATCACAACGTAACAGCTAAACTTCCTCTTTGTAGCTTCAGAGACTCCATAGCACAAATCTTCCCCCTAAATCATATAAACTTGATAAATAAAGCAGCATGCATATAACTGAGCATATATTTTGAAATGCTTCTAAAAAGTAGAACATCAATTTAAAGCATTAAAAAAATGTTAGACTTCTTTCTTTTTTTTTTTTTTTTTTTTGAGATGGAGTCTCGCTCTGTTGCCGAGACTGGAGTACAGTGGTGCAATCTCGGCTCACTGCAAGCTCTGCCTCCCGGGTTCACGCCATTCTCCTGCCTCAGCCTCCCTAGTAGCTGGGACTACAGGTGCCTGCCACCACGCCCCGCTAATTTTTGTATTTTTAGTAGAGACGGGGTTTCACCTTGTTAGCCAGGATGGTCTCGATCTCCTGACCTCGTGATCCGCCTGCCTCGGCCTCCCAAAGTGCTGGGATTATAGGCGTGAGCCACCGCGCCCAGCCTAGACTTCTTAATACGTATGCCTCTGATAGACTGCCACTTTCTCCTTTAATGATAAGTTTCTATTTGCCTCACCCCCCCCAGGAGTTGTTTGCTCTTGAGTAGGACCTATGCTTAAATTTGTACCTGCCACTGCTGACACTACTACCAAATCAATTGTTCTTACTAAGTTAGTATCTTATCCGAGAAAGAGGCACTGGGTTTTCTTCATCATTCAATCAATCTCTAGAGGCAGCTTTCAGTGTCTCTCAAATTCTATCAGTAAATTGAAGTTTCTCCTGCCTGAACTGCACCCTGACCTCACCCCTTGGTGAGGGTGCCCCATATCTCATCCATCCATGCTCAGACAAATGTCACAGATCTCTAATTCAACTCTTATTATGTCATCGTAATGGATGAACAAATGAAGTGAATTTACAGACAGCAATCCTGGGCTTCCCGTCTTTGACTCTCGATGTATGGGCCCCTCCTGCTGCATATTTACATACAATTAGCAATAAAGTAGGGTTCTCACAGTTATTTTGTTTCTTTGTACATAAGGCAATTTTAGTGCCTTTATATATCTAGTATGTTCTTACACTCTCATTCACTCATTCATTTAAAAATAATTTTGCTCAAAAGCTGAAGATGCAATATTTATGATCGAGGAGATTTATTAGGACAGGAGAAAATATCAGATGAAAGTTGGATGACTGGTACAAAGTGCTGCAGAAATTTTGAAGAAAGAAAGAATATAACATACAACTGAGAAACAATTTAGGAAATGCTACTTTCAAGTACTTAATTTCATTATGGGTGCCTGTCTCTTTTGCTATCATAAGACAAATATAGACCCAAAGCACAGGACACAAGCATTAGTGAACAACTTGGGAAAGCAGCATTTTCCAGAGTGTGCTCCACAGAAATCCTACAATGTATTTCATCGAAAAAGATTCCATGGCCACTAAATTTGGGAAGTGCCACCTAAGCAACCCTCTCTCTTGTGGGTCACAGTAACCATCAGTATATTAAAGACTCTGAAGTTGTGCACTTAAAACAAAATAAAACACACACACACTCACATACACACACAACCAGAAAACTGTTTCCTTCCTTCCTTCCTTCTTCCCTTCCTCCCTTCCTCCCCCTTCTTCTTCCCTTCCCTTCCCTTTCTCTTTCTTTTTGACAGTCTCACCCTGTTGCCAGGCTGGAATGCAATGGCACGATCTCGGCTCACTGCAAGCTCCAACTCCCTGGTTCAAGTGATTCTCCTGCCTCAGCCTCCCAAGTAGCTGGAAATACAGGTATGCGCCACCACACCCAGCTAATTTCTGTATTTTTAGTAGAGACAGGGTTTCACCCTGTTGGCCAGGATGGTCTCAATCTCCTGACCTTGTGATCCACCCGCCTTGGCCTCCCAAAAGTGCTGGGATTACAGACGTGAGCCAACATGCTTGGCCAAAAAATTTCCTATGTTTAATTTTGATTTTTCTTCCCTTTTGAAACGAATGCATATAGTATTACTCTTAGGAGTACTATTTACTTGTTTAATTCATTTATTGCCATTTCTACATATCACTGTGCTGGTGACTCTGTGCATGTATATGCAGGGCAGAATATGCATTAAAATCTTGGAAGTGCAAGTTGGCGGAGGATGAATAGAATATGTGCTATTGGAATCCACCACAGGATTTTTAACCTTCTTCCTGTACCAACCCATTGTAAATGCCTTATACAGAGTAATAGCAGAACACTATGGCAAGGGGAGTGCTCCAATAAATATCTGACGGGAATGATCTTCCTTCACAGTTAGTATTAATATTTGTTTCATTGTCTTTATTTTAATTATTTTCCATTACCTTTCTATGAAAGATAAAGAAGAGACATTTGTATATCTGTAACCTTCACCAAATGCCACCTGCCTGGTAAATGTCAGCAGTCCCCAGGGCTTTGTCCTGGGTCCCTCCTCATTTGCATCCTCACTGAGGAACATTTGTCTCCTTCCAAGTCTTCATTTAGTACCTCATTCTCTTGGCATTCTATCACAAGCCCTACACACCAGTGGCCAGGAATAGGGCAGCTCAAACCAGCACACACACACATATTTCTGTGACTTTACTCATGTTTCTACATCATCAGAGTTGCCCTGGTTCTCACTCATCACCTGTCAAAATAACTTTCATCTTTCAAGGTCGACAGAGCCGTATTAACATAGCGGTCAAGAACGTGTCCAACCTAGACTGGGTTCAAATACAGACTCTAGATAATAACCTTGGAATAATGTTGGTACCTAGCTCAGGTTGAATAACATTTAACACAAATAAAATAAAACAAAAGAAAATATACTTCCAAAAACCTTTCTCTCATAAATTTATTAGAGTTATTAGGTTGGTGCAAAAGTCATTGCAGTTTTTGTCATTACTTTTAATGGAATAAAAAAACGCAATTACTTTTGCACGGACCAAATTGTTCTTCTTTGGCAATCCCCTAGCAAATCAATTCAACTTCTGTTATTCACTGACAACATTGTTTTTTCTACTGGCTGCAGCTTTTCACAAGTCTGTGCCCTCTCTTCACTGCTATAAATTGTGAGCGCACCAAGGAGAAGACTGTCAAGTTTACCTTTTTGCTCATATTGAAAGTATGTGGCAATAACTGGCTTCCACAATCTGTGTGTTGATTTGGAAAATGAAGATTGAGGTACAAGCAAAAAAAATCAGTGAAGCACCATTTAATACAGAGGGGAACAGGGCATATTTGGAAGTGAACATTTATTTCTGAATCCAACATCAGTATTATCTAGTTGGCTAACTTTTTAAATTTTTTATTTAACAAATGTACAACATATTTAATATTGTGATGTGGACTTGGCCCTGTCATCTAGAAAGGCCTTAGCACAGGTAGTTTAATGAAGTGTCAGGTGAGAAGCTGTCCCATCCCCTATTAAGCAATGTATTGTCTAAATGAGTTTAATTACCATGCAAATTACTAGGAGCTCATATGCCCAAGGCCTACAACATATCAGATGGCAGGTCTAAGAGAAATTCAGTAGGCTGTGCCTCTCTTTGTAGTAATGCTTTTACGTAATATAGAAAAAATGTCAATGTAACAAGAATAAAATGCTATGATTCTTGGCAAATTTTTAAGTCAGTGAAATCACTGGTAAAAATTGTAGTGGACTTATAAGATAGTTGATATAAGCAAGTCACTTTCAAGAATAGCTATTAACTTATTTGTTCTCCTTTCTCTAAAAACATACTGGAAGTGACTAAATGTCTGAATCCTGCTTCTACACAACCATGAATATTTTGGAAAAGGCTACACCACTCATGTTTATGGGGAAGGCCTTGGGGTGTGGGCATGGACTGGATCTGAAAATAAAAGGTTTATATCCTGGGTCAGCTTACTAAATGTGATCTTGAACAGGTCACTCAACATCTCAGAGTTTCCATTTTCTCTTCTGTAATAAAGACTAGTGATGCCATCTTTAAGATATAGACTAAATGATTTAAAGTATTTTCAAAACTCATGCAAACATAGGTATTATGCCATAGACAATTTTTAAAAGTGAAACAAAAGATATATTCCTGTTTTCAGCCTCTATCCATAGACAGAGTTTGGGTCTGTCAAAATGTTAACCGCAGTATAAGACCAATCTGAAGTGCTGTCAGACTAATGGCATCTTTACCTATCCTGAACTGCATGGTTCTTTCACACACACAGGCCTGACACAAAACAGTATATCTTGTAAGTGCTAAATAAATATGAACAAGATGAGACTGAAGTTTTATTACTACTACTCATTTGAACATCTTTCCAAATACTGACCAAATTACAATGTAATAGAATGTGACCGTCTGTTATCTAGGAAAAAAAAAAAATCACCTAATGCTTTAACTTTTACAATATGTCTAATCTATTCAGAGCCAAGAATAACCTGGGAGATAAGCACATGAATTCAGATTGGATTTCTAAGAGATTTTTAGCAAAGTCTTCACCAAATGTGCCTAGAATAAGTCATATCTTCTGAGCAATACCCCAAAGAGGGATGATTCTACAAGAGTTTCCAAACTTTCTTGACTGCAACCCTCAGCAATAAACACTGATTTATAGGTAATGAGATGGAAACATGGCTTATTACTTATATACATAAATAAAACAAAAATATTTTACTATTTGCAATGCACTCTGATATTTTCTATCCTATCCTACATAACATTCAAACAAAATGTTATATTTTAGTTTACTTAAAAAGTATGTGGTTGACAAACTGTTGATGAATTCTACATCATCAGGGTTGCCCTGGCTCTCACTCATCACCTGTCAAAATAGCTTTCATCTTTCAAGGTCGACAGGGCTGTATTAACATAGTGGTCAAGAATGTGTCCAACCTAGACTGGGTTCAAATCCAGACTCTAGATAATAACCTTGTTTGGGAAACACCGTGTTGTGGATCCAGCACTGTGTAGGCATATAACTATTTCATAGTCCATTTGCTTATTTGGAGAGATGAGAAAATCAGGCCTAGGTGTTCATGAAATGCATCCTTCAAAGACTGAGTGAGAGTTGTCAGTGGTAAAATGGCACTTTGCAGATTACAAAATCCAGCATGAACCATGACTTCAATAAAGAGTATTTGTTGCATTTTGTAATAGTTGTATGCAAGGTCAAAAGGACTAATATTGTGCTTGATTTTCTCCTTTGCCTCTGCAATAACTGAAAAACAGGTATACACATGGGTAAAAGAAATATTAATATGGTGTTTCAATAACAGCTCAATAATTTGATTCAGTACACTGTATTGGATTCTTTTCTGTTTAGTTGGAACTAATGGGTGCAACTTAAAGACAGTTAAATATATATACTTTTTAATTTGAAGGAAAAACTTTTTCTTTTTTATTTAAAGGCATTGAACTGAGGAATGTGCTGTCTTATGGCCTAGTGTTTCTTATCTGCCTGTGTCAAAGCAGTGCCTGAAAAAGGATTTGCAAGAGCTTTAATGGAGAAGGTTCCAGCACTGGGTCATGGAGTAGAAGAAATATCTAAACCTGCACTGATTCCAGTTCTGTAGCAATTAGTCACATGTGGCTATTGAGCACTTGAAATGTGGCTAGTGTAACCTGAGGAACTAAATTTTCAGGTTTTAATTGTATGTAAATGTAAACTTAAATAGCCATATGTGATTAGTCCTTACCACAGTGTACTATACAGATCTAGAGGAATCAATGTATTGGCTATTTGCTAAGTAAATGTGACAATTTTTGATACCTCATATTATCATAATTTATAATGCATCCCACATACTAAAAAGTGATCTGGGATCCATGAAAAGCAGAAATTACAGGATTCATATATTTAAAATAGAACTATTTTGAGACTAGAGACAAACGTATTGCCAGCTTTGGGTTTTAGTTTTTACATCTCTCAATGACAAATAGGTTTCTTCTGATTCTCCAGAGAGACTGCTGACTGCACTGACTCTTATTAGTGGCCTTCAAGAAGTCCTGCTCCAAATTTCAGCCACTGCTTGTATATACAATTTTAGACATTGAAAAGAAAATTCTGCTAGTTCCTTGAAAATGGGGCTGTTTATCCATTTGGATTGACACAAGAAATTAAGACAGGGAATGTTTTTGTGAAGTTGGTCATGTAGTATTTGTATGATGGGACTCTTCTAATAAGTTCATTTAATCTTAAAAATAATATGCAATAGGCTGGGCATGATGGCTCATGCCTGTAGTCCCAGCATTTTGGGAGGCTGAGGTGGTCAGATTGCTTGAGCTAAGGAGTTTGAGACCAGTGTAGGCAACATGGCAAAGCCCAATCTCTACAAAAAAAGAAAAAAAAAATAAGCTGGGCATGGTGGCATGTGCCTGTAAGTCCCAGCTAACTTGGAAGGCTGAGGTGGGAGGATTGCCTGAGCCCAGGAGTTTCAGGCTGCAGTGAGTTGTCATCCTGCCACTGCACTACAACAAGGGTGACAGAGTGAGGACCAGTCTCAAAAAAAAAAAAAAAAAAAAGATAAGATAAAAGAAAAAAAATGCAACAAAACTAAAAAGAATAATGATCTAAAATTTGTCAAACACAGCAAAACAACTGACCTTTTAATAATAATTTGGTTGCATCCAATTTTCTCCATATTCCAAGAAACTCTTGATTATATGGCAGTTTTATTGACTTACGAGAAAAACCCACTCCGGATATAATAAGCAATTTGTGATATGCACAGAATAGAGGTGAATGCACAAGGATAAACTGTATGCTTTAGCAATTAAATCCAGGGCATTTAAGGGAACAGCTACACTAAAGTATAGATAATCAAATTGAACTAAGGAATGGGGTCTTTCCATGATATTCCCAGTGAGCAACAGAACGTCATGGAAAACTCCAATCAGTATTTCAGTACCTCTTTCTTGCATGCAAACAAATCACTAAACGGCAAATTTGATGTCTTTTACATCCTGGAACTCCAGGCTAGAGACACCCCTGTAAATTCCCTGTGAGGTGGGAAATTTTGCCTGAGTTGCAGTCAACTCTGGGGTTTGAGTATTCATGGGACAGGCTGTTATTTAATAGGTTCAGGAGAAGAATTTGAGGGAATTCCAAGAATTATGGATTTTACAGGCGCGGGAGGCACCTAAGGATAATTGTGTAGAATTCACTGAGGACTAGGAAATGATGTTGACCTCTGAGAATCAAAGTAGGTGGATGCAGAGATAATGTGTGTCCAACAGCCACCTCTAGAAAAAAGCCAGGTTATGATATTTATAAAGGTGAGAACAAAAAGGTTTGAGAATTCTATATAACTTTCATCAAGATGAACTAAGGAAAGCAATGCAGCAGTTTGATTGAAATGTAATGAACTGGACTCCAGGCAATTATTGTGTATCCTGTCTAGTGAAAAACTGAACAAAGTGAAAAAGATTAGCTTGGACTGTAGAAAAGGGAAACCAAAGGGCCAGAATTTGGTAGAGTATTGAACACTGGCTGAGAGAAGATAGTCTCTGTACCAGGAACTTGCCCAATTTCTGTGATAGCTATGTATACATTATAGCAAAGTGTTTAAAAGCTAGGATCTACTGCCAGATTACTAATTCCTTAACCTTGGAGAACTTATTTTCATCTCTGTGACTCAATTTCATCTTCTGTAAGTGATTATAATAGCATCCATCATTAGGTTTATTGTATAAATAATTGAGTTAATATGTACTAACCATTTGAAATAGCACTCTCAATAAATGTTTATTATTATCACCCCAGAGATAGATACATTAGACATGTTAATATATATGCAACTCATACAACTAATTATCTCTATTTTAGGTTCAAGGATGCTAAGTAATTCTTCGACCCCTGAAGATTGGCCTATAAGGAGGGATGCACCAGTTAGGCAGATATCAGCATTGGGATACTTATATCACTCTAAATTTGCATCTTGGCATTTTGGCTCATAGTTCAGTCTTTTGTGAGTTTTATTATCATTAGTCAGCCTCCTAAATCCAATAACTCTAGACACTGATAAGTGACATTTGGACCATTGAGGCTGAGAGCTAGACCCAGAACTGGTAAATTCACTAACAGTATGCTAAAGGTAAAATCTGTTGGCAAATAGCTAAAAAGCCATCTGCTGTAGACCTTGATCTATCTTCTTTCAAATATCAGTAATTCACTACCAAGATTTTACCAAATGCCAAGTAGTTTCAAATTCCCCCCAAAATAAAAAGGAATAGATTATCTTAGAGATATTTAGAGTTACAGAAGGGTTACACTTAAACAAAACATATCAATCATTAAGATTTGCCCTGTCTTGTCTAATACTTGAGGGTTTTGCCACTACCTGAAGACTAAGTCCTGAATTGATACACACAAAACAGTACACAAAGGAATCAGTGATTTTTAGTCCAGTGATACCTAGCTCGTGATTCAAGTCAACTTATCAGTGTGCTAAAGCATACTCACCTATCCCAGTAACCACTATCTCTCCACTATCTCTATTTATGAACAGAAATGCAACAATCTATATTTTTAGAGTATGGGCCTAGGAATTTGTGATACAGAATTTTTTTAAAGAAAGAAAAATATCATATATATACTTCCATTGCAGGTCTGGCAGCAGATAGCTGTTTTGCCACTTTCTGGAAAAACTAATGGCTTTTGATATACCCTCCACTATGTAGTATATTTGTGAAAATTCCAGAGTCTCAAATGCAATTTCCAAGACTGTTCTGGGCCTTATGCTACTAACCATGCAAATATCCCTCAGCTGAAAAATTTTAAACACATCCTGGGGTTGGGTTTATGTTGGAGAAGCTCTCACAGGACTATCGGCCCAGGATTATATTGTAGCCCCTAAGTAGGAAAGGTTTTGTTTATGTTGCCTCTATTTACATGGGATTTTCTTTTTTTGAATAACTCAAACCCAATTATAAAGGAGCAGAACTGAGCCTGTGAGATATGACCAGGCTGCCAAAGAGGAAATCGACAAAGACTCCACAAACTAAGGAGACAAGAGCAGCTGTTATTCTGGCAAGGAGATGCAACTTGCCAACCTTCTGCCCAGCGGTGCCACACCAGTGGTCTGAACAATAAGTTGAGTTTACAGCCTCCCCTGTGACTATGCCAGTCACATTCAAGAACATCTGCCACAGCCTTAATGACAGAGCCTATGGGAACTTAATGAGTACCCCATACACCTGTGCGGTTCTACGAGACAGCTGTTTCCCACTCCGCCACCTCCTTTCTCAGTCCTTCCCATCACGTGTGCTCACTGCCCCATCTTCCCCATAGGATACAGCTGACTCTCATACCGGGGTCTGTGCTTTTGTGAGGATTTCATTTATCTCCATTTACATGGCACTTATAGGCAGTAGAGATAAAAAGCATAATATCTTTCACACTGCTCAAGCTTCACAGTTTGCTATGCAAGAGGGTGAGTGCTGGAGACTGAGAAAGTCAATCAGAAGAATCAATGGTCTAAGAGATAAGGGGACAAGAAGGAAGAAGATGAGAAGTGCTGCTACTTTTTCTTTGCCAACAACTCTCAGACACAAATTAGAAATTCACAAAGCCATGGAAACACTTCACAGTTTACCTCTGTAGGTATCTATGAAATTGCTTTGGTCAAAGCATTTTCTGGTTGAGAAAGCTGCCTAGTGGAAGACCTAACAAAACAAAAAACACAAAACAAAATGCAAGACAAAACAACTTACTAAAAATACTTTTAAAATTCTGAGAATTCTAATTACATGGAAAGTGCACAATGTTAGTATAGTGCATGATAGAAAGAATCTCAAAAACTGTATGACCTTTGGCAAGTTATTTAACACCTCTGAGTTTCCATTTTTTTAGTTTGTTAAATTAGGATAATTACTTAGATTTGGTAAAACCACAATAAATAAATTATATATGTTATATAAAGTGTTTTACATAATAACTAGCACAACCAAGTGCTTGATAAACATTATTATTATTATCATTATTATTATTGCCACATCAAGCCCATTTCTTATGGCTTTACTGTAACCACTAAAAAATGTGTTCTTGTTCCATATTTTACAGAATAAATCATTCTTTTAATGACAAAAAAGGTGAAATATCCCCTAGAGAGAAAAACCTAAAAATAATGATCTCATTTGTTATGTAAATCAAAAGGTATGAGCTTGAATTTTGTAGATATATGACTAACAGAATGTAGAAATTCTTCAGTCATTCATTTCGGACTGTTTACATATCAGAAGCATTATATGTTCTATGATAAAGGCCACGTGGCATGGCAAAACTATGACAATATTAGTAGTTTATGTTAAAAAGAAATAGTCCCCCATATCACTAGACTGCACTGTCCAATATGGTAGCCACTAACCGAATATGGTAGCCACTAACCGAATATGGTAGCCACTAACCGAATGTGTCTATTGAACATTTGAAATGTATCTGCTCCAAATTGATATGTGCTGTAAGTATAAAGTACACACTAGATTTCTAAGATTTAGCATGTAAAAAAGAATTTAAAACAACTTATTAACAATTTTATATGAATTACATGTTGAAATGATAATATTGGGTTAAATAAACTATATTATGGAAATAAATTTTATCTATTTCTTGTTTGTTTTAATTTGTCTACTAGAAGATTTAAAATTAACTGTCTTTCTCCTATCATATTTCTTTTGGGCAGTGCTGCTCGGGACTAATGATTCTCAATGGTTCTTATATATGCAGTAATATTTTGTTTATAAATGTCACACAAGGAGCTTGAAAAAAATTTAAACCCCTGGTCTTTCAGTGATTCTGACTCCAATGGCCAAGGAATTTGCATTTTCAATAAGAAACTGGATATTTCAAATGCAGATGGTCACTGGACCACATTTTGAGAAACACTGCTATAGACTAAGGTTTCTTTAGTTGAAACATGATGTTATGAAACACAGATATGATTGGGGGGATGTTTATGGACAGCATCTAGACTAATATGAAGGCAGAAAAAGAGAGGGAGAATCAAGATGGTAGAAGATGCCCATTAACCTGCTTTCAGGATCTTCTCCCTAATAAGTAGTAAATATAAGTCTGTTACTTTTTCCCATATTCTAGTGCCAGTGGGGATGGAGGAGTAAAGTCTGCACTGGGCCAGGTACGGTGGCTCACACCTGTAATCTCAGCACTTTGGGAGGCTGAGGCAGGAGGATTGCTTGAGCACAGGAGTTTGAGACGAACGTGGGCAATATAGTGAGACCTTATCTCTCTGGAAAAAAAAAGTCTGCACTGCGAGGACCTCTCACCAGTAAATTTTAAGATTTGAAGGCAAGGTTTACAAGGCTGTGGTGAATAAAAGTGATGACATAATTATTTTCAGTGGTAACTAATAACATTCTTCTCATTTAACACTGTCACTTCCATTACTACTGCAAATCGGCTGGTGGTGAGAGGTATAAGTGGTATAGATCAAATCTGGAGAAAGAGAAATATTCCATATAGCCTCCATGTCCCACTTCTTTCATGATATACCTTAGCCACTGTCCACATAGCAATTACATTCCAGGCACTGGGCAACAAAATCACAATCATTCATGGTTGCTGCAGAGACACAGAGCCTCTCCTGCCATGTCCAGCATAAGAGGCTCTTTCTTGGCTGACACACAAAAAACCTTTCAAATATAAAGAAGGAGAGACTCTGAGGGAAACAACTCATTCATCAAACCAACCTCATCCGCCATTAACATCACACCTTTTTTTGAGATTCTTCTATTACCAATGCCCTTTTATTTCCTTCCTACCAACTTGATGTGTTTGCCTCAACAAGTACTCTTTCCTCACAGTTTGCTTTGCCGTTATGTTATTGTATCTTTTGATGCCTTTTTTTTTTCGTCCAGCTTACACTAGATGCAAAACTGATAAAGTTGTGCTGATTGGATGGTGACTGCCCAATCCCAGAAGGACATCCCTCCCACAATTGCCTTTCAAAGTTGTCACCCTCCTATATGACGAAACTATGGCAGTAGCTGGGAATTTTTTTTTGCAGTCAGGTTTAATCTTCATTTTGCTGACCAAGCCACCAGGGCAAGCACCTCTTACATTGAGGGTGGTGTGCTCTTACAGTGAGAGCACTACTACAGTTATCAGTGATGAAACAGGAATTCCTGATGCAGTAAATTGCCTTTTGGAAATAAATGGTAGCATACTTTCAGGCTTAAGTTGACAATTTAGGTCATTCCCCCAAATCTAAAACTTCCTATCACAAAAACCTGCAAAGAAATCACACAATTGTTGAAGTTAGCTGCTATACTGAGGTCATTTAGTCCAATTTTTAATGCAAAATACCTCCTAATTGGATGTCACTCTTCCTGAAATATAAACAGTAACAATTGATTAAGTTTCAGATATTCTTGCTAGAAGTTTTCTTGACTTAACCCACTTAACCCTCAGTAGAGGTATTACTAGCTCCCTCCCTCCCTTTACAGGTGATAAAACAGAGATCCAGAGAAACTGAGTCACTTGCCCAAGATTACAAATTAAAGGTGTGAGCTGGTTTTGAACTCCAGTGATCCATTTCTAATTCCTAAGGAGGACTATGCCTTAAGACAATTCATCTGCATTTTCTAGACACCATGGCCACAGTTTTAGGCAAATAAGAGTTAGGCCTGGGACTCTTTAGGAAATGACTGAGAAAGAGAAGCCCTTCCTTCCTTTACCACTGGGGTTTCTAAAAGGCTAGATAGTAACTGTGGAATTTTGCAACCATGATGGCACTGTAAGTGGTGAGCCAGAGATGGCGTGGTCCTGAGCTCTGATGATCTGGAATTTACTGCTTTCTCTGAAATGTGAGCCAATAGATTCCTTTTCTTTAAGCCAGGTTGAGTTGTGCTGTCACTTGAAAACAGTTAAGTCCTTAAGGAGTGAACAACTAAGTAATTGACATAAAGCTCCAAGTTTGTAATGCTTAAGCCAATATCTTGCACATATTAGATATTCAATAAATATTAGTTTTTATTCTTCCACAATGTTCAGGAGCAATGATTACGCTTCTCTATTTTGCACAGAGCCTAAAAAGGGCTGAAACATAAAAAATAAATACATTGAATACATGTCTGCAGATCAACAGACATGTTGAGAACTATACCCAGGAGAGATTAGACAGTCAGACTGTACCCACTCATCATTTCCACTTCTGGCTCTAAGTAGGAGCCAGGGAAGGAAAGTGCTCTCAGCATGGCTCACAGGGGAGACTTTCCCAACAGGATTCTACAGATTGGACTTGACTCATAGTCATAATGTGCCAGACTCACCCCAGTGCCACCTGGTTAATCAAAGGGCCAGAAGGTATCTGTGGAAGAAAGACTTAAGGAAGCCGGGGAAGTAGATAGCAGTTCACTGAAGTTCCTGGCATTTGCCTGAGGGCACAGCTGGGGACATTAATAATCATTTTTCTCATCAGACTGCTGAAAATGAGAGCAAAGTGAGAAAGGGAAAAAAACAAGTGTTTTGCTGCCTCCTGTTTGAATTAATCTCTTCTGACAACTGCTGATTTGGGTTTGTGATTCGATCTTCCATATGTCTAGCTCCATTGGTCAATTAAGTGTCGAGGGTGATTGGGGGAAGCAGTGACACTCAGCCTGATTAGAGGAAGAAGCATCACAAGGCATTTAGAACATGCAAAGCAGCCCACTGAGCCTGGCTTAAACAGAGCCAAGCAGAGCAAGGGTGGTGTCTGGTACTGCCAGGAGGGTCAGGGAAGAGTCGAACCTCAGCACTCAGAGCACTAATCAAGTAAGGAGGACATCAAAGTCAGTTTCCTGTGAGCAGCGAGTAAGCTCTGGAGAGTTTTGGAGGGATCTAAGGCTCATGCAAAGTTAAGCCCCCGTCAACCCATTCAAATCTTATTCTTCTAGACTGTCCAACTAATGAACTACTTTCAACAAAGTATCATAAACTTGAGAACAGAAAATAAAGTCATGTCTAACTTGGAGAGTTCAATTTATACATTTGAAGGAATCCTCTGAAATCAAGAAATGGGATAGCAGAACACTTAAGTTAGACAAAAACAATGCAGAAGCAGTAGTGCTCACACATTACTATGCAGTAATAAAAACATTGAGGAACTATGAGTTCTAGTCCTACCTCAGTTAATGGCTTGTTGGTTACTTTGCAGCAAGATGCTTCTTTTCTTCATTGTCACTTCCCCATTTTTTTTTTTTCTTTGAGAAAGAATCTCACTCTGTTGCTAGGCTGGAGTGCAGTGGTGCAATCTCGGCTCACTGCAACCTCTGCCTTCTGAGTGCAAGTGATTCTCCTGCCTCAGCCTCCTGAGTAGCTGGCACTACAGGCTCACACCACCATGCCCAGCTAATTTTCTCATTTTTAGTAAAGACAAGGTTTCACCATGTTGGCCAGGATGGTCTTGATCTCTTGACCTCATGATCCACTAAGGCTCAGCCTCCCAAAGTGCTGGGATGACAGGCCTGAGCCACCATGCCCAGCCTACTTCCCCATTTTTAAGGAGGCTGATGGAGGAAGTGGGGGCACTTGTACGCTCCTAAATAAAACTGAAACTTGATCTAACAGCTGAAGAGAATGTTTTGACTGGAGCAATGGCAGCCTAAAGTCTTTTATGAGTTAAATGCTAAAGTACTTCATGTGACTGTTTAAAAGAATAGCTAATAAAAACGATTGTACGCTATTTTTTTATAAAGATCCATATCAATGCTCAACAATCATCATAGAAGGCAACAGGCTCCTTTAAAAGTAACATTATGTCAAAAAAGCACCTATGATTTCTTGGATGTAGTCACAGTTTTGTTGTTCAAATTTAATGAAAATAGAACAAATGTGGCAGTTGTTAAAAATAAATGGAAAAACTTTGGCTGGATTGCAAACTAGTTAAGTATGATCTTAATAGAATAACCATCTAAGCATGTAAACATGTGGATTTATATCACTCTGAAGGAAAAACTAATAGCCTAGCAAAGCCTCCATTCAATGCTTTATCTCATTCAACATATTTATTGATGACTGACATGGGTAAAATATACTTAAATAGAGAGATTATCAACTTACTTCCCCAAATTTAAGGAGAAAAGCTAAGGCATAATAAAAGCAGGGTACAAAATGAACTAGATCTGCTCTATTCCACAGTTGTCATTGTAAAGATCAAATACAGATCAATGCCACAACATTAAAGATATAACAAATTTTAGGTCAAGTGAAGAGGACGTGTGATGGTGAAGAAGACTTGGGCACTGTCAGTCAAAGAAAAATTGAAGGAAATGGATCAAGAGAGAGCATGTTTGAGGGAAACAATGGCAAAATAATCAGTCTATTTTAAAGGCTTTTTAATGGGGAAAAGATTTAGATTTATTCTGAGTGGATCCACAAGCAAAATACTTTAGAGAGATAGATTTTGACACAAATGAAGAGATTTTTTTAAATAAGTAAAATGACTTTCCTAATAAATAGTGAGTTCTCTGATGGGAGATGGGGCTCAAAAGAAACCAGGGAAAGACTCTCCCGGTAAAAGAGATTCACATGTCAAGTAAGCATCTAGACTGCATGACTTCTGAGATACTTGTAGTTCTAAAACTCCTTGATTCTATTACCATAGAAGAATTCTACAGCTATTTATTTTACATATAGAAAAAGCATGTTAAGTCTTGAGAAATATGTATTTCTTAGTTAACTGTCATGATGGGAAAATAGAACATTAATAGACTTAAATATCTGAATATACGTGTCCCTCCAAAATTCCTATGTTGGAACTTAGTGAAGTGATGGTATTGAGAGGTGGGACCTTTGGGAGGTGATTAGGCCTCAGGGTGGAACTAGTGCCCTTAGAAAGAGCTCTAGAGAGCAAATATGTTCCTTGTTGACCCCTGCTACCTGTGAGGACTCACAGAAGGTGCTGTCCATGAGAAACACGCCCTTACCACACACACATCTGCCAGAACCTTGACCTTGGCCTTCCTAGCCTCCACAACTATGATAAAATAAAATTCTTTTTTTTTAAATCAATCTAAGGTATTTTGTTACAGCACCCCAAACAGACTAAGACAAATGTAAATTCTGTAAATTCTTAAGCATACAGTAGAAGGAATAAAATCTAACACTAACAAATGGTAGAGTTTTTAGAGAATGAATAATCTATGAAAGAAGGCATACATATTGACTACTATGAAAAGACCGCACGTGACAGAATTGTAGGGAGTGATGTTTAAGAGCACAAGCTCTAGGTTAGCTGTTTTCATTCAAATCCTGGCTCTGCCACTTGCTAGATGTATAACCTTGGACATGCCACAGTTTCTGCATCTGAGACATGAACATAACAATATATCTATCATATAAAGTTTTTACAATTTAAATGAGTTTAATATATATAAAGATTTTGTAATAGTTCTTAAAACACAGTAAACACTATACGAGTACTCGTTATTTTACCAGCTCTTTAAAAATTTTCAGAAAAACAGGACTAGAGATATTCAAGTGAAGGTGGATGTGCTTTCAACATCCCTCTTAATAAAAATAGGTAAATTAGTTAATAGACAATAGAGGTCAGCTTTTTAAATTTCATTATTTTATTTATTTACTTGGTATTAGCCTTCTGGAATAGCTATATGTGAAAAATTGATTTTCATCCTGTTGTCTTGCCATTACTGATGACGGAATATATAGCACAGAAAATTTTAAACCACTGATTTTTATCTATTACATAACTTTTGCAAAAGCTGAAATATAACAACCTGGGGTAAGCATCTCCCATGCCTTTTTCCTTTCTTGTACCCTAAGGAAGTGGTATCAATGAATGGCCAAAAGATGAAAAGTAATAAGGCAGCCCATCTAATTATTGAATTGTGTAAATAGCTCCTGAATAAATGAAAGTTGATTGTATGTATAAATTACAGGTTATCTAAAAATGGATAAGTGTATTTTAAAAATAACAACATTCAACCTAGGTGATCTGATGAGATGAAAATAAACTATGAAAGTCAAAATATTTAAACAAACAATGTCAATAACAACAAATATTTTGAACATTTAGCATCAATTTATTAACTTCCTAGTTAATGTGGCAAAAATGGCAGAGTATTTTACACATCGTTCATAACGTGGGAATTCTAACAGAAATGTTTTCTTGATTCAGAACCAAGATGTCTACCCTTTTTTGTCTCCTTGGTCTGTCCAGACTGAAGCACAATCAACGGCAAATGGGAGATATGAGAAAAGATGACATATTTGAATAAATTCCATGGGAAAAAATTCTCACATCTTTAGATAATACATCTAAACTCTTTTTTTTTTCTTTGACCTTCAGAAAAATCCTAAATGTCAGCAGCCTGATTTAGAAAAAAAAAATGTCTTTGGCAGATTTCTCTTCCTTTTGTTTTCTTTACTGCTTTTAATGAAATGCTAATGATACCATTTTATTCAGCAATTCTACTTCTAGGAATTTGGAAGTAGAAGTGCCTATAGCTGAGAATGTGGCCTTAGATTCAAGTTCTAGTTCCAATGTTGTCTAGCTGCATGACCTTGAGAAAATGGATTAACCTCTCTAAACCTCACTATCGTTATCTGTAAAACAAGGACATAAAGTCTTTAGCATACATACAGGTATTCTAAGTTCCTTCTTTATATCAAAATAAGTCAGTCATTGGAACATTATTAGTTTTAGACAAACATAACTTAATCCTTCTCAAATCTACCAGTCTATATTTTAATGATCTTCTCTGAGAGTTTACTGAGGGCAAATATAAGAAGCTCTTAAATAAAGCATTTTTTTATTTGCTATAACGCTGTTAAAGGCATCATCTTTAAAAGTACCCGCTCTTTAAAATTCCATAAAGTAAATTCATTTCAGCATGTACTATCACGAACACTATCTTTCTTAAATAATTAGTATGTGTTCTTCTACTCATTAATGAAAATATAAATAAACTTCTATTTTAGATGCCAGGAAACTCAGAGTAAATTTCTCATTCATATTTATTTCATCCTTTTTTGTAAAATCATTTTTTCCATTATAAATATTATATTGTATAAACATGTTAATAAGCAGACTCAAATATTTCATAATGGAACCCAGAGAACTGATTACTTTTATAAAGTATAATGTGACTACAATTTAGCCTGCATCAAAAAATAATTAAAACATGTTTTATATTTTTATATTAAATCTGCATTAAAATTACATTAGATAATACATTCAAAAACCATAACCAAAGGATATTTCTCACTGCTGATGCAGGTGTGGAGAGAAAGCATCTTGGAATAGTTCCTAATGATAGTGAAAATGTCCATGAAAGGCTTGGTAAATCTTTACAAATAGCCATAAAAATGTCAACATAATTCAAAAAAATTTGCTTCTAGAAATCTATGATTTCTAAGAAAATAATCATGAATAAGGATAAAAATGTATGTATGAATGTATTCATTACAGTACTACACTTGTAAAAATATTTTATGAAAAAATCCCAAGCTAAGGAAATCATGAACTAATGAAATACATGTAATTTCAACTTGTTGTATATTTAAGTGAATTATTTTACTCAAAAGAATGATATTAGGTAGGAAAAAAGGCCAACAAAGAGTAGATTCTTCTCAAAATTATGTTGAAAAATTATTACTGTTCAGATATTATTTCCAAGACTAGAAGAAAATACAACAAAGTGTTATATTGCTTAAATATTGGTAATAGGATCACCAATGGTCTTTGTATTTTCTTTTGATTTTCATGTGTTTTCTTGTTTTCTACAATGAATATCACATTAATCAGAAAAAGTAAAAACAAAAATAATTTGTGAAAGAATCTAATATGAAAAGGGAAAATATAAGACTTTTTATATTATTCTAATAAGGTAGTTTTATTAGAAAACATGTCTATTCTAAAGGAATGTACTATTTCACTTTATTATACCATGAAGTATGATTCTGAGCTCTGATATAATGTATATTGTCCAAAATGTCCTCAATTCCACAAAGCACTAAAAATTATGGAAGTAATAATTGGGAGCGAACTTGACAATCATGGTTAACCATATTAATTATAAAACTTTCAAAGTGTTGGCACACCGTGTCTTCTGTTGAATTGATTATTGCAGCACTCTGCAAGGTAAGCAGATCATATATTAATGCTTTCCTTATTCAAAGGGGTTGAATGACTCACTCAAGGTCACTCAGAGCTTCCATATACACAATCTGGACTCTAATTCAAGTCTTTAGATCTAAATTCCTTGGAATTTTATAGGTCTAGAGACGGGTTTTTTGTTTGTTTGTTTGTTTTAATACTCTCTTTCTCTGTCTCTCTCTCCCCTACTATTACTTACTTCTATGCAAAGCAGTTAGACTAGTGCTTGGGACACATTGCACAGGCATATAAGTATTCATTGAATAAATAAAAGTGGGACTTTTCATACTGGCTTGAAGGAAATATGCCTTTGGATCTTCTTTTGGAAGAAGCTGTGTTCATTTTCCTTGATGAAAAAAAAATGTAATCTAATAATTAGTCTCACTTACAGGTGAAAAACAGGATTATTCTACTCATAATAGTAGAGGCTCACATGCCCCTCACTTCATTGCTGTTAGTCATGCTGCTGAAAGCCAAACAGAAGCCAGGTACTGACTGGCTGTGTACAGGGCACATTCTGCAATCCCATGTACTTTGTGCTAGCACCACCGCAGCAGGCCTTCAAAAATTGGCCCTGTCACTTTAAATATAATAGACAATAAATCATCCCTCTGAGACAGCCCCTAAGGAAAACAGGGGAAAAAAAATAGAAATAGCATTTAAAAGCCCTTTTCTATTACAATGCCTCTAGGGAGCTTTTAAAATTGGAACTCTTTTGAAGTGAATTTTATGCTTTTTGGGGCTTTTAAAAATGCTTCTAGAATTAATCTTGCAATTCTAGGACCAAATCCTCCATGAGATCCTTTAATTTGGGGGTCTTTATTATGCTAGTATTATCATATTTGCTCATCTTCTCTGTGCTGCTTTCCCTGGTATTCCATAACCAATCAACCCCTTTTCTCATGCTCTTTGTAATTTCTTTATTCCTCGTTCCTCCCTATCCATGTTTCTGCCAGTATATTTCTTGCTTGGTCTTTCTTTTCTTTTTTTTCTTTTTTTCCTTCATCAAATCTAGTTTTAGTTACTTCTCCTCTAAGATACCCTTTGTTCTTTTGCACCTTGGATGCAGATAATCCTAATTAGGCTACCATGCAGATAATCCAGAATTTTCTACTTTCCTCCTCCTATAGCAGAATTTTCTTAGACACAGTTGAACCACAACTGCCTCTGTTTCATAAGCCTCCCCTTCTCTTGTTCTTGTGACTGTTCCTAGTTGATAAGAGAAAAACATCAAAATAGCAAAGAAAGTTAATTTAGTTTAGTCTGAAAAAAATCTTAGTCAAATCCTGAAAAAAATAAATGGTAAGGTGTGAACATATAAAGCACAGATTATACAAAGGGTTAGGGTTTACATTAAGAAAGAGAGATTCAATATCAGCCTGACTCTCATGTAACCAGTACTCAGCTATGATCATTTAAGTCATATAGCATTATGTGGCCCAATAAAACAGTTATGGCTCAATGGCCTTTATTATTCTTACAAATTAAAAATCTATACTGAACAAAACACAGTTCATCTTAATATTGAAAAACATACACACTCAGTGTAAATAACAGGACAACAGCAACTGTTTCTTGACACTACATTACATGTCTTCTTAGACCCCCTGATCTGTGAAGGAAGGCAGGAGAAATTCAACTTGATATTGAGCTGGTGTCTTTTGATAAATTGGGAGGCCAAAGTATGAAGCAAAAAGCAGTGAGAAGAGATTATTCTGACACCTTTTAGATTTATAGACTTCCCAGCCTACTTAATGGCCATTCATCTCATCTGGCCTGCCATAGTCACTCCAGCCACCCTCTGGGTGAGTGCTTATTACCAACAAGGCAGCAATCAAATTATTGCAGGGAATTTACTGAGTGAGATAAATAAAAGCTGCCTAAGTCAGTGATTCTCAGTGCTTTCTCTGGAACATAAGTCTCATAAGAAGCTCTAAAAATGTCCCACAGACACATAAGTGTTGTCAACACTACATACCCTAACCCCTCTGCAGAGTAATGGGAAGTATATTAGCATAGTAAAAGCACTGACAAAAGAAAGCTGTCTGGCTTTGTTTAACCCAGCATGTACCCAAAGCATGGGACATGCTGTTTTACTTTTTTTTTTTTTAAGAAATGGGGATCTGGCTATGTTGCCCAGGCTGCAATGCAGTGGCTATTCACAGATGCAATCATAGTGTGTGCACTACAGCCTTGCATTCTTACTTAAGTAAAACTTATGAAAATTCTTTGGAAACTTTGGAAAAGCCTAGATTAAGTACTTGCCTAAAAGAAGATCTGGGACAACTATCTTGAAGGTAATGATGACTGTTAAATGAAATGATTAGATGAAGAAAAATAGGAAGAAATACTGAAGGTTTGTATTAATGATTACTATCACCAAAGGAGAGAAATGTACCAGCAGATCACAGTCATTAAAAATGACCCATCAGTGGACAGCAAATTACATACTTGGGAACCAATGCTGGAGAAAAATCAAAGAGGGAGAGGTCATGTTTTATTCCACTTGTAGAGCTTTTCAAATTCAGTCCTAACCAAACCTGATTAAAGTAAATCCCTTTTTTACAGGCTGTGGAGTCTATAAGATTATGGTGTTAATGGAAGTGCTATTCGATCCGTCAGTAATGGTGCATGTCGGGACCCTGGCGCCTCTGACAAGTCCATTTTTTAAGACGTATTTATTGTTTTGTTTTTTTTTTCTCCCTTCTGTTCTCTGCATTGCGGGGTTTAATTGAACAGTTTAAAGTGATTCTTCTTCAAGGCCCATTAATTGATTTTATTTGTGTATTCTCCAGGGTCAAGGAAAAGGGGGAAAAAAAAAACCAATAAAATTGCAGCTCTGGTTTTCACTGTCATATTCTCCCTGGAAATTCATAGCTCTGAATTTTGTTTCTTTTCTCTGCCTCAAGAGGCCATTTTATGATTTTTGCAAGGTGCATTTTTTTTTGTTTTATATTACTGATTTATTCAATTCCGATAGGGATTCGCCATTAAGAAAATAGTAAAATGTGCCCAATCTGACCAACCATGTAGTATCTAGGGGTTCCTCATGATAAACCCAATTAAAGAGGAAATACTTCGGTGAAACAGTCATGAAACTGTACATTCTCATGACAAAGCATCCATAGCGGTTTCTTTCTATCATAATGGGACAAAGTCTCTTGAGGTTTGATGTTGTGACATGCCTACACATATATAATCACAGTGTGTTCATATTTATTCATTTAACCCAGCACTGCCCCTGAATGGTCTTATGTCTGTGAAGTAAGAATGAAGATGCTACCTGGATTGCAAAACAGTATATTCAGGGGGAGGAAACTGTAGAGTGAAACTGAGATTCTGCCAAGGGCAGAAGCTATACATATGTGTGTACATACATATTGGCATCACACCACAAGAGGCTCTGTCCTGTCATGTCATAGTGCCCTATGATGTCACATTATTATGTCACCTAATATAATTTGTACCATTTCTTAATGCTTGTTTCTATCAGGAAGTAGCTAATCCTCACACTGAACTTATGAAGCAGGTATTACTATCACCATTGAATCGTCAAAGTCTGAAACTCAGATGTGAAGTAATCTTCCAAAGATATAAATAAGGTTTAAATATGCATCTGATTTACTCCAATGCCTCTACTTTTCTGTTCCTTGGATATACTGTTGCCTTGGAGACTTAGTTTGCAATGGCTTTTATTTCACTAAAGATGAAAATATAATAAAGTCATTTAAAGGTGGATAACTTTTTTTCTACCTCTGCTTCCCCAGAGTAGGCCCCAAACAAATACTAGTTGAATAATGGAATAAGATTCCTGCCCCTTTGCTATCACATCATTCCTGCTTTGAGCTTCACTCTAAGACCAGTCCTTTATGGGCATTGTAATAACAAGGCCAGGGTAAAAGATAAGAAAGGGACAGGGCCATAAACACCAATCTGGATTCTATCATGTGGACAAGCTAATTCTAGCCTCTTGGTTTTTTTGACATATCCATCTCTTCATTCATTTCTTTGTCCCTTCCTTATTCAAATTCCCTTGATGAAGTCCCCAATAACACATAAAGCTTAGGTCTTTCATTGAAATGCAGGTCAAATTTGTCTTTTGCATACACTAGTAAAACTATGCCACTGGCTTCTGGTTCCTGATTATCTTCCCCTGAATGTTTTAAGAGAGATTGAGAGTTTAAAGCTAATACTAAGATTGAAAGAAAAAGCAGCAGGGGAAGGGGAGGGATCATATAGAAGGAAGTATTTTTTTGCTTGCTTGATTTACTGTAATCAATAGCTGAGAGGAGAAAGCGACAAGTTCGAAATTTACTTCCAGCGGATGAACAGATCATCGTCAAGGACAAGACACATATATTTAAGAATGTGTCAGTCAACTGAAAATCTCACAAAGGCAACCTTCTCGCGGAAGGGGTGCACTCTCTGCACGTTACGGTCACACAGTTCAGAGGAAATTCTATGCTATCTTGCATCTGCACCTCTATGTCCATCTTCTCTTTCTCGACTTAAGAAAATCAGCTTCCTGGACCCCCTTTACCTCCATTCACCTTTCACAACTTTCACTCGTTTTGTGAGACAGTTCAATTATCACTTTCAGGATTGTGTCTGTTTCCTGATAGATTTAATAGTAAAATCCTTCCAAGGGCCAGAAAGAATGAATGGCGAGGAGAGGTGTCCCAGTCTGAAGCCAGGTGTAGTGAATAGGAATAGTTAGTAGGAGTGAGTACAAAATCCTCAACTAGTAGTCGCAGGTGGTGACCACTACAAAGGAAATGAAAACACGTTAACTTTTTGGATATTACTCCAAGAAAAGAGAATATGCCTGCAGACCTTTCTCTAAGCAATAAGACACACTGGTGTACAAAAAGACCCACACTCCTCCCCATGCTGAGATACGTGTCCTCCTGTGGATTCCCAGAACATGAAAATCACTATATCAAAATATGTGTCACACACTACCCTAAGCTTTGGTTTGCATGGATCTCCCCTCGAAACTGAATCAAGTCACGTTCATCTCTATCTCTAGTTTCTCCTTCAGTACCTGGCGTATAAGAGATGCTCAATACATATTTCCTAGCATAAATGAAAGAATGAATAAGAAGGAATTTTCTTGTAAGTACTAATATAAAATTGTGATGCAATTACAAATTTTGGAGATAGTGGGGCCAAAACAAAGTGGGGCTAAATAACTGGTCCAGAAAAAAAAGACAGGGATAAACTTTGAATTTTGCATTATTAAGGTTAAAAACAGCTCTTATCTGGCCAGAAAGAGAACAGTTTTTGTGTAAAATAATTTTTTCAAATTTCAGAAAAAAATATGCTTATGAAAGAAGCTTTAGAATGCAACCTGCACTGTTCATGACCAAACATGTATCAGTATAGAGGGCATGAGAGCAGAAATAAACAGAAATAAATATTCACCTCCACAGGGTAGCCCTAAGGATCCTATGCCCAGATAACTAGCTTGTGAGTTATTCACTCCTGGAATTGCCTGTTACCATTGTTCCCTGCTTAAGACAACCATGTTGTGAGTATATGTGTGTATAGTGAGGTACAGGGAAAGATAAAACAGTGTCCTCAAAAGCCCATGGACAAGATGGTCATATTTTACTTGGGAGGATGTGAATATGAACTAATACACTCCTCTTGTTAAGATATTAGTACAGGGTAGCATGTTAATGTTCATCAGAATGCTTGTCAGGTGGTTGCAGTGTCAAGGATTCCTTCCAATATGAGGGTATGTAGAAAATGCAGCCCTCCACTTTTGACACTGCTTACAAACTTTGAATCAGAGAAGACAGTTGTAAAGGGAGGTGGTGTTCTTCTTTTCACAAACTTTTCACAAACTGTCTTTATTTTTATTCTTCTAATTTTCTCCTGAGATATCAACATCGAAGTAGCATATAACCTTCCTGGAAGCAATCTAACTCCAGAAAAAGCACATACAGGCACAGAAAAAAAATAACCAAATTCATTTTTACATAAGAATAGCAGTTGCAGGTGGCATTACTTTGGTCTGATTTTATGATTAGTGGAAACTGATGCCTTCTGTATTGCTACCAGAGTACATAACCTCTTAGGCCTAAGTCTCCATTGACAAATAATTGGGATAACAAGCACTTTTCACTGCATTTGTGAGTAATCTCAGTGAACAGTCTTCTTTCTGTCTTGTACTTAATATCCTTCAATGATCAAATTTGTAAGCAGGTTGAGCAGCTACACTTATTCCTCCAAATTAAGGACTTCCCATCAGCTGCTCATTAACATCTGTATGGATATTGCCTAAATTTGTTTTAAAACTCTGTGTGAGGGTACACTTTGATCTGCTCAACTGACTTCATTCTAGCTATTAAATAATTTCAACACAACCTTGATCTGTCTAATCCAACAAAACCAAAGGCAACTTCTTAGTACTTTCTGCCATGTAAAAATACATCATAGTCTTTCAAGCCAATATATTGTTATGAATCATACATGCACAAACTCAGCAAAGTTAAACTTCCTTAATAATAGAGTGGGTGCTATAGTACCTGTACACCACCTTCAATCCACTGCTGTGAGCGAAAATCAGGCAGCAGCACTAGTAGTTAACTCAATATCAGCTGCATTAATAAGGGTAAAATGAATAAGTGTGCCTGGATTTTTCTCCCTTGATGACTTTAGGTCCAGATTTATCTTATTTTAGCTTTAGTCTTGAATGATTGTCAAAGATGTGCACCGGCCTCTGAGATAGCCACTGTCAAGCTAACATGTATGGAACCAGATCGGAAGAAATTGCCCAACAGATTTGCAGGGCTTGTCAAGGCCTGGAAATGGTGGAAGTCAGATGATTATATTTGCATTGCATAATTGGCGGAGCTTGTCACAACACTGCTGGAGCCAGCAGCTGCTCTCTGCTGAGAGCTAATTCCACCTGATCTATTTAATATTATAATGAATTTAATCCTCTCCACATTCATCCAGGAGCCAAAGAGCACAGTTTATGGCTAAACCTGCATTTGCAGACAGATGACAAGGGACCCCTCTGGTGGTAGGAATTAATTTGGGGAAGTATGCTGACAGAATTGCCCAATCATTTGTTTCGGTTGAGATTTTTTTCCTTTTCCAGAGAGCAGTCTTCAGTATGGTCTGAATTTTCCCTTCTCTCCTTAAGAAGAACTCTTGGAAGTCAGAAATGAACTTAGATATTGTTTAGAGCTGAAATGTGCTCCCCCTCACTCACCCACTCAAATTCATATGTTGAAGCCTAAACCCCTAGTTCCTCAGAATGTGACTGTCTTTAGATATAGGGCTGTCAAAGAGGTGATTAAATTAAAATGAGGCTGTTAGGGTGGGTCCTAATTCAATCTGACTGGTGTCCTTATAATAAGAGAATACAGAGAGAGATATGAGGATATGAGTAATGCATGCACAGTGGGAGAACCATGTGAGGAACCAATGGCCATCTGCAAGCTGGAGAGGCTTCAGAGGAAACCAAACCTGCCAACACCTTTATTTTGGACTTTCAGTATCCAGAACTGTGAGAAAAAAAAAATTCAATGGCTTAAGCCACCTAGTCTGAGTGGTATTTTGTTATGGCAGTCCTACCAAATTAATACAGCTATTATCTAGTGTAACTCAATGTAAGTTTCTTCTCTACAGAATATCATAATTTTTTTTTTTCCAGAGGAACGGGAAGAGGAACACCTCTCTTATACAACGCAACTGTTAGCATTAAAAGAAGATCATTTTATCAGAAACTTCTGTGTACTGAGGCGGGATGTTCCTCCTTATGACTGCCACCTTACTGTCCCACTTCTGTACTCTGGTTCGGAACCAAATAAGATGTCTTACAGGGCAGCCCTTTAATTAGATGCAGGCAGCCGTTGTATGTCCATGCTCCTTTTTTAAACCTTCTCTTTTTAGTTAAACCTTTCTTGATGCCTTCAGATACTCCCTATATGCCACTGTTCTGAGTGCATTCTCTCATGTTTGTTCTGCTTTGAACCCTTTCTACTGGGCAATTGTTTCTATTAAAATGAGATATAGCTAAAGTCACTAACTCAGATGTTATCCAGCACTGCAGTGTGCTTTAGGACTCTTAGCCCTCTTGCTTTCACTACCATATTTTAGGGTCCTCCCCATTAAGAAAGAATAAAACAAAATGATCTTTAAGCCCTGGTATGGAATGAGTATGTGGTAAGCTCTTGAGGGTACCATGATACCTTTCATATGTGACACAGGGGAACTGAGACTTACTGATGGATTTTCTATCAGCTGAGTATTTTGGAAAACATTATTTTTAAAAGTTGTTAAGAAATGTTCTTAGTATTACATTTGATTTTACTGATATATATATATATATATATAATATATATGTATAGATGTATAATACACATCCAGATTCAAGCAGCTTTACTTGTATCTATTCACATAATTATAAAAATATAAATATATTAGGCATTTTTTTCCCTCAAATACTTAGAAATCCTAAAATGCAAAAACCAAACACCTGGGTATAATAATTGTATCTCCAGGAGGGAACAAGTTTCCATAGCACACTAAGGATAGAGATTACTGTAAATATCCATTAAACTTAAATATGCCACTCAATTGAGTCTGCAATTTGCAACTTAGGAGAAAATGGCCAGAAATGATGAAGCCCCTGGGCATCAGTACATGAACAGTTATAAAAATAGAAGAAAATAGTGTATATTTTTGGCTTCTATTTGCTGATGTATGTATTGTAAGGCAATAGCTAACTTCAAAGGTTTTCATGCTTGCCCAATAGCTATTGAAAACAGGACATAATTAAAAGCCTTTTCCCCTAAACACCATGACTCCTTAAAATGTAGAATGCAAGACCTAGCCGACATGGAAACAGGATACAGGTATACTGCAGTCTGTCATATTGACTCTCTACAGTTTTCCTATTATATGAACATATCAAAAATACCTGGAGGCTGAGGCAGGACTACAAAAATGTTTTGCACATGCGAGGGAATTTGAGAGCTAGCCTAGGGGCAGAGTAAATATCAGAAACATTAGTTATGTCCGTTACCGGAAAAGGAGTGACCAATGCCTTATCACTCCATGGCACTTATTTTTTCCCTCTCTACTTTAAGAATAATCTCTCTAGAGAATTAGCTCTGGTATAGCTGAACACTTTCTTAGAAATTAAGTAACAATATGATAATATCTTTCAAATTCCATCCTAAAGAGAGAGATCTATTTTTTTAATGACTACAGAATGTCCTCCCCTTAACCCTAAATTACTTTGCATTTAGCATTTTAGCTGCCAGAAGGTACTGTCAAAACAGACAGACCGCTTAATGGAAAAGAAAAGTTAATGAACTAACAAGGGAACAATAAATATTCCACAAATCAAGGAAAAGATGGAACGATTTCCAAGGGGGAAGTGGATGTATCGAAATATTTTTGCTAGAAACTCAAAGCAATGTGTTTTAAAGATTGAAATTTGGGGTGAGGGAATGATGTAATGGTTGATTAGTGCATTACTACCAATAATCTCAAAACAATTATATAACATTGTTTATCCGAGTAGAGGAGAAGCAACAGGAAAAGAAAGACAAGAAGGACCAGTTCCTTTTATTAAGTGAATGGCATTTCTGCCATATGGTATTAGATAATGCAAAGATAATGCCAGTGACTGGGAGACCATCATGTGGGCTTTTTGGAAGGAAGCATGTATGCCTGACACCTGTCACATAGCTCAAATGTGATGCTGGCATATTTGCAACTAAATTAGAATAATTTAACCTTCATTAACCCCTTCCTGTGTTTATGAAAGTAGAGCGTAATTGACAAAATTCTGGGGGAAGGGTGGCTCCTTGACTTAGATTCGGTGGAATTTTTGTGAGTAGACGCAAATACTGTTGTGTCATACTTCTATGCTATCAGGCTTTCTGCCCAGGATTCCATTTATTTGGAGACTGTGAACCTGAAGTCAAGGATATCTCATGTTCCAGTGTTTTCAGTAGAAAAATAAGGCGAACTGTCAATTGACAGATTTTTCATATATATAAAAAGGAACAGTCTAGGATTTACGGGGCAAATAAATATTGTGCCAGAACAGCTGGCAAGCGTGAGTAAGAGCACAAACCGCTGGTATGTTATCTGCAACCTCCCACACACATACCGTGAGCTGCAACTCAATAAGTGGATGATTACAGAGGTTATGAGAAAAGTAGAAGTAAACACAGTGAAGTTTAAAGAACACCTGGTATGAAAGATAACTTGGTTTCCAACAGATACCTCAGTTTCATGGGAAGCATTTTAGAGTGATGGTTAAGAGGGCAGGCTCTAAATTGGTGTAATTTCATATATACCAATTATGAGCTGTGGGATTGTACCAAGTCGCTACACTTCTTTAAGCCTCAGTTTATTTATATAAAAGGTTTATAATGTTGCCTGCCTTATAGAGTTACAGAGAGAGATAAATAAATCACTCCACCTAAATCACTTATCACAGTTCTTAACACATGATATGTGTTTAATAAATGCTAGCTATTACCATTAACAATGCCCATGATCTAGCACATTCTAATTTATGATGCCACTATTTCCACATCCAAAATATCACCTATTTCAACTGAAGGAAGAATAGCATCAGGTACTTAAGTTGGTGCCCATGAGGAACCATTATAGAATATAGTATGGTTCGAGATGTTTTAACACTCTAAATGAAAATATTTATTTGCAAAAAGATAATCATGTTCATGAAATGGTTTAAATATTGCCTTATTTCCAGGAAAAAACAAATAAGTAGAAATTATATATAAAACATATACATGATATGACTATTATGCATACAAAACACGACACGAGCTAATGTGTTTTTAGTTTCACTAGGCTTTCTTTATACGTGGTTTCACTAGACTCATGCTTTGTCCCAGGTCTGTGTGAAAATTGCATTTCTGACTTAAACTTTTGGAAAAGGAGAAAAGGTTATGTTAGGAAATTGCAAATTAAATCATTAACTTAACAAGTGCCCTAAAAAACAATTACATAGATTCATATACACATTGATCAACTTAATAAAGCATATTAAGAAAACCACATCTAGTGATCTAGTTGCATCAGCAGTTGAAAGTCCCATGAGTTCAGTGTCCATGCTTACCACTAACGCCTAGCAAACAGCCTGGCACATAGTGAGATGGAAAAGTTCCCTTGACCCCCTCCCAGGACTTGTGACAGGGATGGCTTGTTTACATGGCAGCTGTGCTCAAAGCCCATGTGGGAGGGGGAGCACGCAGGTGAGCAGGTGCAGCAGGTGGGGCAAGTGCCTTTGGGCACCAACAGGAAGAAACTGGCCCGTGGCAGCAACTAGCGGTTGCATGTGACCACTGGAGCCCCAGAGGGCATGTGTTACAATAAGTGCTCTTTCAGCATTTGCCATCCTTGGAAGGCTAAGTGTTAAACAGCTCAGTGGACAGTCAGTGTGACAGCCTCTTGCACCTACACCCAGATCCTTGTCTGGTGCTCAAGAGGAATGAGGCCATACAGACTGGAAGGATGGTGAATGCAAAGGTTGCACTGAGTGGTGGAAGTAGCTCTCAGTGGGATGGGAAGCTGGAAAGGGAATAGAGTGGAAACATAGTCTTCTGCGTGAGTTTGTCTGTCCCTGGCTGAACACCTCTCTGACCATAATCTCCTATGTCCAGCTGCCTCTTCTCTTGATGTTCAGTTGCTTCTTCTCCTCTCTCCTCTGCTGCATCGCTCTGCTCCTTTGCCAGTGAAGCCTGGGGTTTTTATGGGCACAGGATAGGAGGCATGGCAGACCAAAAGGTGACATTCAGGTGTGAAAACAGGGATGTGAACTTCTCATTTAGGGCTTCAGGTCCAGGCTTGAGGGTGGAACCCTTGTCAGGGACCCCGCCCATTTCTACCTAGTATTTCCCTGCCTCCTGTCCATATCAATAGTAAATGATAAATAATTACTGATAAATCACTTATCTCTTTATTTCCTCTCTGTATGTAGGAAAAATTTAGTTCTCATTTCATCATACTTAGGATATGTTCTACACATTTTAGCTCTACTTTAATGAAACACCTTATGCTAGAAACTTTAAAAGAACCATCCTTAATCTATTTTTACAGATGAAGAAATTAAAGCTCAAACATGTAAGAGTTAGTTGAATACAAGGCTGCACAGCTAGGAAGAGCTAGAACCAGGTGTGAATCTTCATATGACAATCTCTATTCACTACCCCATGACACTTTTCATTCATACTTGAGCTCCTTTGTGCCTAGATGTGTGATATGAGGTAACGTGAGCATCATGATCTCTTCTACATTTTCTTTATCTCTCTGAGAATTAGTTATGCATCAGGGAGCACTATTTCCTTTATCCTCCCTATCAAATAAAGATTCATGCAAGATGTAGCAAGGATAATTCTTAACCAAATAAGTCTATTATATTCAACAAGTTGTAATGAGTAAGTGTATAATTTCATACACATTTGGTTTTAACACTCTTCACTCAGCTGTGTTAGCTTCACTAAAAGAGTTAAACATTACTATTCACTAACTCTGTTCCAACATCTGCCCTGAAAACCAAGGGTTTTCAGCTATAAAGTCTTTGTTTTCATAATCTTTTATCACACTAAGGAATAATATTAATAAATCACTATTTCTCTCTGTTGGAAAAAGGCCAGCATTTTTTGGATGTACATAGGTAAACATCCTTGGGTTTAAGATGTAAGTGAGGAGGGCTTTACCTACCCTTTTAATTATGAGGAAATGTGGAATTCAGTGGTGCAGAAAGCCCATCTGCAGTATTGCCCAAAGGGGATTCTTTTAAGTGACTTTTTTAGACCTGGATCAGACAGTAGTATCTCCATTCATTTTTAGTCACAGAGAGGCTAAATTGAAGTCCATTTTTCTGAAACTAGTCACATAGTCAAAATTCTCACATTAAGAGTAATAAAATCCTGTGAAGCCATAACTTTTCTGAAAGAGTTTTTCTCACCATAAATATTTAAAAAGTAGCAACCAGTTTCAATATAAAAATTAGCGTATTAATGATTTCCCATAAGATAAACTAGATATCCGAATGATTGGCTTAGTTTAATGAATCAGCACATATATTTAAGAAAGGAACTTACCATTAGTGAAAAGTTGAAACAAAAAGCATAATATAAATTCAAAAATAGTAACTGTACTTATTATATCTTTCATTTATTGGTAGCTCACTGTATGCTAAATCCTATGCTGAGCTATTTATGTTTATTAACTCATTTACCTATACTTTGAATCTCCAAGGCAAATGCTATTCATATATAGTATGAAATTATGCTATTGCAGATTAAGACAGATTAGGGTTAGCAAAGTGAAGCAACTTCACTAAGGTTGCAGAGTTAGTTGGTGACACCCATAGTAGTCTGACTCCAGGGTTAAAATACTTAACCTTCATGTATATTAAACGGCATAGGCCAGTGGTTCAGTTTCCAAACTCCTGTCCTAGAACAAGTGCTAATTCCTAAACTTTTCAGCAGTCTTTTGATAAATATTCTAGTTGCATTTTGTTTTTAAATATGTTTATTTGGGAAAATTAAAATAGTGTCAAACAAATATAATTGTTCCATATTAAAAATAAACATTTTGGAAGTAAAAGAAGAAAAAGATTTTCAAGTTATTTCTGTGTACTAGATAAATCTGAGCTGCTATTTACATGAGGAATCCTTTTTTTGGGTGCTTAAGGGTGACAGTGTTGAAGACCAGAAGAAGGTAACCATTTAAATAAATAACCAAGGATGTAGGAAATATTGAGGTGAAAAGAACAAGTAAAAGCTGTTATAATCCCAAATGGCTTGGACATTTTATAGACAAAGAAAACTCTGGGGGAGGTAATGCTATTTTATTTGGGAAGATGATGGGTTGCCTGTTAACTTACTTCTGAACATGTTGAGTTTGTGGTGAGGGATTTAAGTAGGAAAATATCTAGCAAGCAATATAAGGAAAACTGCAGGTTTCCTGATCAGACAAAAACTAAATTCTTCAAGGTAAGCAATGTGCCAGTGTGTCAGTGAGTCTGGTCAGTCTCCAAGGCATGTTGAAAGGAGGGGGAAGTGGTCAATCTCTCAGCCTTGACACTGCCCCTGTTGGTCATCTTTTCCTTGAACACTTGTCATAAATGAATATTGTCACTATTGCACTGGCTTGAGGGTAGAACCCTTGCCAGGGGCATCCCCACTTTAACACTTTACCATGAACCTGAATGCACATGCCTTCCTTTAATTTTCCATTCGGAGTTGACGCCAGGCTGTTTCCGAAAGGCTAAAGACTCAGAGCAACAAAAGGGAAATTAGCACAAAGTATATAATGTGTAATTAGATCAATGACTTTAACCTCTTTTGGGTAGCACTGAGAATCTGATGAATCTCCCCATATATACATACAATTTTGCACAGCCTCTGAGAGCCTACTCAAATTCCAGACCCAGGGGGAAAAAAAAGAGAGACTTAAGCGATGCAGCAAGCAACTTCTCTGGCTTAAGGTTTGTTTTCATCTGCAGATGATTGACCTGGGAAATATACATTCCCTGCAGTGATATTTAACCTGCCTCTCTTCTCTGACTAAGGGGTCAAGTCTTAGTTTATGACTCCCAAGGGTCAACTACATAAAATAAACATGAGTTTAACCCGGGTACGAGAGATACACATGTGTAGCACGAGATATAATTTTATTACAGAAATAACCTTCACAAAATAGGGCTTAGTGAACCCCCCAGTCCCAAAAACCACATTACTTAGGACACATCCAATTTAAACACCAATCCACATATCTATTTCCAGACCCTTGACTAGTGCTGTAGTTCTCTACTGAAAATTTTATTGAGGGAGTATCAAAGAAGGGATTAAACTTCGAAATACATACAGCAGAGATTTCCTGAAATTATTCCATTCCCACATCTCTCTCCTCAAAGCTCCACACATCACAGCATTTGCTCAAATCTGTTCAAACTTTAGTCCCTGCCCATTTGTCTTTCTCATTCTTTAATGTCTTCTTTCTTTACTCGTATTTCCTCTTCCAGTACCACTCTTTTTCTTCCCTCAGCAGGTCTCCCTAAGTTCTTTTCTGTGTAGAACTATTTTTTCCCTCAGAAAGACAACTAGCTAGCAGAGCTACACACAAAACTATTTGGAGGAGCAGACAGAGGGCTCTTTCTTTATTCCAGCTGAATTATACAAAAACAGAAAGTGTACATGTTTAGTTTTCAGTCATATTCTAAATGCCTCCCACAGTGCCTGACAATACTTTCCAAGTAAATATTTGTTGAATAAATGAATAAAGAAATACTGATTGAACTTCAGTTAGAGTTTAGGATTAAAAACATTGACTTGGCTGGGCGCAGTGGCTTACACCTGTAATCCCAGCACTTTGGGGGCTGAGGTGGACAGATCACAAAGTCAGGAGATCGAGACCACCCTGGCCAACATGATGAAACCCCGTCTCTACTAAAAAGACAAAAATTAGCTGGGCGTGGTGTTGCGTGCCTGTAATCCCAGCTACGTGGGAGGCTGAGGCAGGAGAATCACTGGAACCAGGGAGTCTGAGGTTGCAGTGAGCCAAGATCATGCCCTTGCACTCCAGCCTGTTGACAGAGCGAGACTCCGTCTCAAAACAAAACAAACAAAACAACAACAACAACAAAAAACCACAGTGACTTGAAGGGAGAAGACCACAGAATGTCAGAATTATAAGGACCACATGCAATATAACAAGTGAAGCCTTCTCTGATATTGCTAAAAGTTATAACTAACAAAAGAGATCAGGTATCCCAGAAATAGATCTTGGAGACAGGAAGTTAAAATGTACCGAAGAAGTAGCAATTAGAAAGATAATTTAAAAGAGAGAGAGAAAGAGAGACAGACTATAAGAAAAAAAAATAATGTAACATCATGAGTCTAGGAGAAAAGATAATTATCAAATAAATATTCAAAGTCGACAACATATCACTGAAGAGTTCCCATATACTATAATTCTTCAGCTCACCATTTAATGAAATCAAAAAGGAAGAATTTTTTATTGGCCTTCTTAAACAAACAGTTTCTTTATCCAGTATGCTTTGCAAAGAGGTAAATTAGTACCTGAAACTTCTAGTTGATCAAAGAAAAACAATGAAAAATAATCTGGCCTTGCTTATAGCCCTGAGGACAAAATAGAATACTCAATTTTTATTTCAGAGGCATGTATAATTCTAGGCCATTTTTGGAAGTAATTTATTTCTAGGTTAGTCTGGAAGAGTTAATTTTCAAGAAAGAAACAAACTAGAAATATTCTAATTTTGAATTAATTTTTAAATAGAGAGTATAGGAAATAAATCTTATAAAGATACAATATTCAGTTTGTTATGGGCAAATCTCATTACTACTAATAATTAACCTATATTATGAACTAATCATCTGTTAAATTTCAATTAAACTTCCAATTTAAAATGTATAAGGAAATTTCAACCAAACAATGAACTTTTTTTCATTATCCCATATCTTTAAATGATTATCTATTTACCATTTTAAAAACCTCCCCTTATTTCTGAAGTACTGCTCAAGTGAAAAAATACATTAGCTATTTATTACACTTCACTTTACAAAATGACGTGGCTGATATTTCATCTAATGTCATGTGGAAAGACAAAGATACCTATGAGCATGGAAGGAGACGTGAAAGATGAAGTGTGTGTTTGTGTATGTGAAAGGAGTGGGGAAGTGGTTAGTGGGAAGCAGGAAAGAATTCAAGAAGCTCTTTTCTACCAGATGCCAATAGACTAAGAAGTAGAAATACATCCTTTTATTTCCCCTTTTCTTCTTTTATCTTGAACCACCTTCAGCCACACCTTTAAAATTAGTAGTCCCCTATGGTCATTATCAATCACATTAATTTCTTCAGTGGCATCTAACTAGGGTATTCTCAAACAAATGTTCACAATAGTGGTTCTCAGGTGACCAGATAGCTAAGAACCAAGATCTTTATCTCAGTTTTCTCTTAGTGATGAGAAAGGGTGAAATGGTTTGATTACTGGTTGAACAAACTCTAAAATGTAAACGTAGGGGTTCTTCATTCACTTCAGGGAAGATTTAGAAAAATTTTCCTAATCTTGATTATTACACAATTTTTAGACCGCTTGCAAAGCAGGACATGTTAGTTTCACTTCTACCTGAAGTGAATGAAATCTGGTTAGTATGTGATTGACCAATCCAAGGGGTTTCCTCATCAGGCTGCACAGGGAGTCAGCTTTATTTTGTCTTATTGCCAAAAGGTATATATATATATATATATATATATATATATACGTATATATATATATATATATATATATATATATACACGTATATATATATGTATATATATATACGTATATATATATATATACGTATATATATATATGTATATATATGTGTGTGTATATATATATATACACACACACATATATATACGTATATATATATATATATATACGTATATATATATACTCTTAGCTTGCATTCCTGTAACTTTTCAAGGAGACTGCATAAGAGTGTGTAGATAGGGCATTGCAATATAGTATTACTTGATAGCAGAAAAACAACTCAAACAATATGTGGGTTATCAATAACAGGTCGCTGGAATCATTTTCTTGTAAAAATAATGTACTAAATAGCTATAGGCTTTATGAGGCCTAGAAGTCTTGGGCAAATGTCTTTAAAACTGCTGTGTTTTTTTTTTGGGAATATTTAAACTTTATATAGTTAGTAGAGAAATAAGATCATTTTTGTTTTCTTACAGAAGAAAAAATACCAGAATCATTAAAAATAAAAATAAGACAAGAGGCATCTTGTCTCGCTCTGTCATCTAGACTGGAGGGCAATGGCACAATCTCAGCTCACTGCAACCTCCGCCTCCTGGGTACAGGCAGTTCTCCTGCCTCAGCCTCCCAAGTAGCTGGGATTACATGTGCTCACCACCACACCAGGCTAATTTTTGTATTTTTAGTAGAGACGGGGTTTTGCCACATTGGCCAGGCTGGTCTCGAACTCCTGACCTCAGGTGATATGCCCACCTCGGCCTTCCAAAGTGCTGGGATTACAAGTGTGAGCCATCACGCTTGGCTTAAAAGTATTTTAATATAAGTACTTTTACTAGGAAAACCAATTACCAGAGGAATTGGTTTACTCATAAAGTATTTGTCATCTGCCAAATGCCTGGTAAGGTTGAGATCTTGTTCCTTCTAACTCTACAAGCATTTTTTGAGGCAATACTAATACCTTACATTTTAAAAGTCACTGTTTTCCAAAATTGCCTAATTGTGAGTACCTGATTCCTCAGGTCTTAACCAGAGATTGGGTTTAGATTAATCTCCAGTTGAACAAAAACATTTGTCTTTTACAAAACTGTCTAAAATTTTATCTTACCATCCAGCAAGTTGGAAAGCATTTTAAGGGAGATAAGTGGATAAATCTTCCCAAAGTATTTTAGATTTTTGTTGTGGATAGCATGGATTGATATTCTACATTCATTCAATGTTCTTTCTAGCACACACCTTCATATAATGCCAAAGTTACAACACTAAAAACTATATTTGCAAGACCTCCTTGTTGCTAGATTTTCAGACGTAATTTAGAGTTTGCTAGTCAGAGCACTTTGGTTAGATTTGGAAAGTGGAAATGAGGAGAGATGTGGAGGCATTTGGTTGTTTGACAGCACTGTCAGCAGAGGGTCCAGTGTCCAATCACTAGCTTCACGGGTATTGAGAAGCAGGGTGAGGAATCATTCCTCTGAAGCTTCTTCTATTTGGGACCATCTTGTTCAGATGTAACACGGTTTTGAACCAGTCAGCAGCAATGGAAATTTTCTGAATATTAGAGCTTCTAGAGCCGGTGGCCTACTCATCATAGAAGAGGGACTGCCTCCCTTGGTGTGATAGTTTAATGGTATGTCCAAAACACATACTATTAAACTGAAAATTCAGTCTAAAATCTATTTTTTCAACCTACCCATGTGATTCATAAGCCTGTATTTTTCTTTGATAGAGCCTTTCTCGCTTAAATGATCTAGAGTAGATTTCATTCTCTGCAACAAAAATTGGACAAATATAATAAAGGCTAATTAAAACTATTAATCTATTCTATTTAACCCTTCCTCTACTGTTTCCAGCATCTTGCCCTTTGGTGCAGTGGTGTCCCTTTTTATTCAAAAGTTAGTTGACCTAATTAGAGATTCAGTTTGGAATGGTCTTCTGGGACTGAGGGAAGAAATGTCCTGCCACTGGTAATCTGATTATTTAATCAATGTAGAAAGTTTTCAAGGTATGTAGACTTCAGTTTTGTCCCTCAATTTTAATTTTTATTTATTTGTTGAAGAGAGGTCAAAGCACACGAAAGTTAAAAAGAGATGAAAGGTGTAGAAGAGTATTTGATGAGCTAAGAAATCGTTCTTGATATATTTTTTCCTTTCAACAGCAGGCAGCAAAAATATATGCAGAAAGGATTCAATTTTTCTAAGACAACATATATATGTGTGCGTGTGTGTCTATGTGTGTGTGTGTGTGTGTGTGTATATATATATATATATATTTGTTTATTTAAAAAGACTGGAAGATGCAGCCAAATATTATTAACAGTAGTTATCATTAGGTGGTAGGATTGTAGGTGGTTTTAATTGGAGCATTTTGCCCTAGTAATAATTCTTTTTTCTTCTTCTGGAGAATGCTACTAGTGAAAGGTGATCCAATGCTGTAGGTTGTCTTTAGTATAGTATAGATGTGTTTAATTTATTCTATATGCAATATAAAATGATTCAATGGGAGCATCCTGAGCTACTGTCACCAGTACAATGTTTAATGGTGTTAACTAGGAAGAGACAAGGCACTGAAAAAAAAATGGGGGATTTGTTTTCAGTTCAGACCTAAGCAGGAAGAGTCTTTCCACCTAAAGGCTTGAAAAATTGTTTTTCCTAATATCAGAACCTGAATACAGAATGCTCTTATCACTGAAAACAAAAATAAAAGCCTCAGCCTCCACAGATTAGAGGACTGAGCTGAAGCTTTATATAGCTTTTCTAAATGAATGAGCGTATATAGTTCAGTACTAAAGAATACATTTTGAAAAAGTGAACAATAAAAGGTTTAAACTTTGTTATGGAGCCTTGAGAGAAAACACAGCATCACAGTACAGAAATGGAAGGCCTGGAATCTTCACTTTGAATGCTAACACAAAGATGAGTCTCCAGATGAAGCATGAGAAAACTCTCATGTCTCAAAGAGTGGCCAATTATTAATTTGTTTTTGAGAGAGAGAAAATGAGACAGTGTCAGGCTTTTCTTTCTCTGATGTGGTATATACAATTCTGAGTAAAATGGGTTTCAAATTCTTCTAACAGTCATTCTTCGCAAATTATTTAGACATTTCCAGGTAGTCCCAAGATGAGAATCTGTCTTAGCATTTTCCATATAAAAATAACTAGCATAACTTAATCCTTTTCTATTAGAGTCAAAATTCTGGTATTCAAACTAAGAAAAATCAGGCAAGGAACATCCTCTCCAAATGCTGTTATAAGAAGGGTTATTTTCGTCTGGGTGTGCTATGTATTACAAACGCATTAATTCAAGAACATTATGTCTCTTGGTAATCTGTGATCAATTCAAGTGTATTTTGAGGCATTTGGCCAAGATAAAACGAAGGGGAAAACAACAATAGGAATTAATACACAATGGAATTAAAATATTGATCCCAAAATTATAAGTTTCACACTCTGTTTAACTAAGCTAGTCAGATGTGATTTTCTCACATAAAGTGGAGGTTGCCATATATTTTTAAATTGAATAATATAGACTGAAAAGGTCTGAGAAGTACAACAATATTTCATCTCACCTTTTTGGGGATCTAACTTTTTATAAGAAAAGTGATGAAGCTTGGTAAGAAATGCAGAAGCTTTCAAAACTTTTAGGGCCTACAACTATATTGTATATGTGTTGCATGAGGAAGACCTTAAAACTTGGAAGTTTGGAATTTCCTGAGACTTTAGAGGTTTCTCTTCCTAGAATTGCTTTTGCTTAGAGATCCCTTTGGACCCCTTAGTATTGAAGAGCCCAGATAGATCCCAGAAAGAAAACTAGACGTTGGCTGTCCAGAAAGGAAATTCCTTCCTTTTCCATACAGGTATATATTAAAGTCTGTGAGAGTTAAAAACGAAGCAGGGATTCAAAGCAGTCTCTTGCTTAGAAATAAAGAGAGTGCATATAACTGAAGTTTTCTTCAAATGATATTTGACAAACAGGCATAGAAGGTTGAAAAGTGAAGCTGCCCAAATCCCAGTTACAGGCCTATGTGAAGTGTCACTATGCACCATTAAACACCAGGTGGCTTTCTCCTTCTGGTGCCTTATGGTGGTTTCAGGATGTGGGCAGTGCTTCCTGATGTGATCCTATGCACCTTCTCTGCTTTCTATGCTCTGGGTAACATCTATCTCTCACGCCCCAACTGGGGTTGGATCAAGCCACTGCCAAAAACACTGGGCATGGTGCCAATCTGTAAGTTTGGTTTTAAAATGTAAATGACTTAAATTTTCAGAGAAATATTTTATCACCTTACATTAACTGAAACTACTGAAATTACAAATAATGTAAAATATAACACTAGAAGATGGAGACATCTACATTCAGAATGCTTAAAACAATAACTACACAATGCTAGATAACTTCTAGAATAGAAATGACAATAATAGCAACCACATTGAAAATAGCAACAATAACTATATTAATCCCCTTTAGGGTCTATTCTGCTGCCTACTGTGGTAGTATACTGTTCTTTTTCTGAACTACCTCAGAACATTTAACCCATTTCACCCACTATATAAAAGCATTTACTATTTTCAAATTATCCATTCACGTTGTTCCTTCAAAATTCAATATAATTTTCCTTGATTCCTTTGATATTTTCTTTGTATGCTAATTCAAAACACTCTAATTTTTTTATTACCAACAGAAATTCTGAGAAACAAAAAGTTCTTCCTCTAGCACTAGTGGCCTCACGGCCATGTCAACATTGTTTTGATCCCCATAGGAATTTTCCAGATTACGCAACTCATAGAGCACTGATGGAGTGCAACATGTTAAGTTGTAAAATTTGGATATCTCATTACCTCCCCCCCATCTTATTTATTTTATGATTACGTCTAGCTTCCCATTATTTTTCCTCTATTGACTATGTTCTGTAGCTTTCATATTTGTCCGTTAGTAACTTTCTAATATATTCCTCTCATAGTTAGCTTCTACATCCCTACCTTGCAGTAAAGCTTCTCCAGGTTTTTTCTTGACAATTCTTGCATCTTTCCTTGTATTGTCATATCTCTTCTTCTCCTTTGCTCTCACTCACTCCTTCCAGCATATTCATGCTTTGCTGCTTCAATGTCCCCCTTCTGTTCATCTCCATTTCCTGCCTGGACTCAGCTTCACTCACCCCCTGTGCCAGTGAGCTCTCTACGACCTTCCAAATAAAACTCTTCTGAAAATGACTTCTGTTTTAGTCTTGAGTTATCTGGGGACTGCAGAGCTAGGTGGGACCAGTTCCAGCCTTGGAGGTGGTAAGCCCATCAAGTATTCCAACAAGGAGCAATGACAACTGAGACTGGTTTTGGTAGGAACAGGTAATGCAAAGGCAGTAAGAATGCAATATGAACACTACTGCTCAGATCACAAGAAGAGAGGCATTAAAAGGGGATAAATAGACAAGACACGATGCAGGGTGAGCACGAGAGAGGCTGTCATGCCTGTGTTACCTGGTGGTTCAGATCAGGAAGAAAGACAATGTGCATGCCACAAGTGTCTGGGAGCACTACCAAATATAGATTCAGGCTGTGAAAAATGAGTAGAGGGGAAGAACAACTGAGCTTAACTGGATTCTTTCTCGGGGAAGAACACGTGAGTAACTGCAGCTTACCTGAAGTAGTGATCACTTGCCAACCACTGTGGTTAGCACTTTATGTACGTCATCTCATTTAATCCTCAAAGCATCCCCATGAGGCAGACACTATTTTGTAACTGCATTGTACAGCTAAAACCCAAAGGTCTAAAGAGGTTGAATAACTACATTAACAACTTGTGAGTGGTAGAGATAAAACCTGAACGCAGGCTCTCTGACTCCAGAGGGCATACTGCTAGCCACTACTATACTATACCTGGTGGTAGTGAGCACGATAGGTCAGTTTGAGACAAAATAAAAGCAGATGAGGGGAGAGCAGTACAATCTGAGGACACTGTCGCAGGGGTGGTTGGTCCCGTTTTTCTCTGGCTTTCTGATAATTGTTGAGCATTTGCTTCAGAAAATGGCCAACCTTCACTGACTAACAGAAAAGCACAGTGAGAAAAAGAATATTCTTCTAATAAGTTATAGAGGAGCCAGACTGATAATGTAATAAAATTTTTATTGTCCCTTTTCTCACATACCTCTGGGATCCAAAAAATTGATTGATTGTGATTTTATTACTTTCTTAAATGAGATATTGTATTTTTGTAGCCTTTAATTACTTCATTAAGATGACTTTAAAACCATGCTTGTATGATTTTCAATTACACTTTCTAATCACAAAAAAAAAAAAAATAAAAGAACTGGAACTGGTTCAGATTTAAAAGAAAAGTCAGAACAGCCTACCCAGTGTGGCCTTTCAGCTGCCTATGTGCTTGGCATTATCTTCATGGACTATAACTGAATTTGTCACCGCGTTTCCAAAACTATCTTAAGTGTGAACTATCTCCTCGCCTTTCTTCTCCTTTCATTTGCAAAGAAGATAATGTGGTGCATTAGCATAGGATAAAAAAAAAACTTGTCCTTATACCAAAATGGCAAGTAGAACAAGTGTCCAGAGGAAGAATGATGTCAACATCTTTGGTTTTTTTCAAGTGCTGTAAGTCTGATTTTTTTTTTTTTTCTTAATCTTTTGAATTTGCTCTGTCGCTTCGTTGGCAAATTCTTGTTAACAAAACTGCCCAAGTGGGGAATAGAATTAACAAGAAGGGGAATTGATGGGTCTTCTTTAATTATCATCAGAAAAAGAAGTATACACATAAAGAGTGCAGAATCTGGAGTGATTCTTTTCTAAATCATTGTAACCATAATCAGATAATGTCTTAACTTTCTGACAGAATAACATGCATTTAGTCATTCAACATATATTAACTGTGCGACTCATAAGCACAAGGTACTACTATAATAATATGAAGATGAATATGTTCTAGTTTTCATGCTAAAGGAGACTGGAGCCTGGTAGGAGAGAGAAAGCCAAGATGGCACACTTACTGGGAATATAAGTGAAATGTCAACCAGGGTGAGTGGAGGAGGATTACAAGAAACTGCTAGGAGTTCATAAGATGGTATGACAATGCAATAATACTTTGGCTGGAGTGGTATAGTGTAGTAATGCTTCATGGAAGAACTCATTTTTGAGCATGGCTTTGAAGAGTGGGTTGAATTTAGACATGTGATTATGTCTAGGTGTTGGGAATAGTGTAAAGGAAGACACTGAGGCAAGGCCTTTAACACTGTTGAGGAGCAACAGCCATTTAGTTTTGCCTGATATTCCAGTGTGTAAGGAGGAATGAAGGCAGATAAGACTGTTGAGGTCTGATGGGGTGAGTTCATAGCATTTCTTGGACCTAGAACTAAAGAAAGATGATCCATCCTCTAACTCAGGCAACCCCAGTGCTAAGACAGTTCACATTACAATGCAAGCGAAAACTTCCCAATGCTTGGATTCCTCTACTCTCTGGCTAGGAAGACTTCATTAATTTAAACACTTATTCCTAAAATTTTATTTTTCAAGAGCATTTTCTATTGATGAAATAATGATTATAGAAATTATCTTTCAGGTTGGTTTGTACATACTTCCACCCAGGCCCTTTGACTGTTTAATTTCACCATCAGCTTCAGTGTCTTTTACCCTATTAGTAGTGGGATGAATAAGTCCAAGATTCTAAGATACACAGGAAGAGTTGGCTACCAAATAGGAAGTCTGATAACTTTATGAAGCTTATTTCAGAACATCCAAATGGCAACCTCTGGTCACTTAGAAGGCAAGAAAAACCTAGCTTAAAATCAAAATATATGGTTGATGACTAAGGTTTAATACTCATAATCATAAGGAGTTTGAACCAGATGGGACCTTAAAGATAGTCAAGTCCTGTGGTTCCAGATCTTTATAGACTCCTATTTTTTCAAAAGACCTACTAAGGTAGTGAAGAGGATCATAATCTGTTTCTAATATTTCAAAGCCCTAGTAGAAATTAAGCCTCTCATGGATCATGAAAATAGCAACCATATTATCAAATAAATAACTTTTTTGTTATCTTTTCTGCTGTTTTTGCTCTTTTAATATATATTCAATAAAAACATTCTTAATGAATAAAAATGAAAAAAATAAATTATTGATTGATTTTCATAAGCCAAATATTTCTAAATAAAATATATGGGAATAAGTAATAAAAAGAACTCCTTGTGTTGAACATACCACAGCTACATTTAATTCAATTTTCAAATTATATAGATGGAGGAACTGAGATCTAAAGAAACAGAGACTATCCATGTAACCAAATGCCGCTTGTTCCTCAAAAACTATTGAAATAGAAATAAATTTACTGAAATTTGTTTTATGGACCAGAATATAATCAATCTTGATAAATGATCCACGTGCACTTGGAAATAATATGTGTTCTGTTGTTGGGTGGAGTGTTTTATAAATGTCAACTAAATCAAGTTGATGGTTCAAGTAAAAAATAAATAAATAAATAATAAATAAATAAATACAGACACTTGCCAAAGATCATATAATTAATTAGTGATTCGGGTAGGATGAGAACCTAGATCTTATAAATGCCAAATCAACATTCTTTCTACAATAGCATGCTACTAGGTGAACTGCCTCAGAAGATCCCAGAGTGGAAGGTAGGAGAGATTTGGTCCAGGGACCATAGATTGTAAGATATAAGATCATGTCAGCTATTTATTTTTGTGTTGTAGAGAATTTTACTCATCAAAAATGTAAAACAATAAAATAACATATTTGGTTTACTGTTTCTCTAAAACAGTCTCCAAAGTAGCTGACATGTCTGAAGAGTCTGGTTTATTGACTTGTAATAAATTAGCTAATATACTATTTACTGTTTCAACATACCCCTAAAACACACATGAGAAGGACTTTTACTCATTTTATAAATATTAGAGCCGAGGTCTGGAAAACAGTGTTTTTCCAAAAACTGTCAGCAGTGAGGCTGGGATTAGGCCATAGGGCTCTTGAACTTTATTCTCAATATATATTCCAGTTTCTTGGAAACCAATTTCATCAGTTTGACTGCAAGCCGTTCCTGGAAACGGCAACAAGCAGTTGAAGGAAGTCAGGAGATATAAGGGAAGTACAAAGCTATATAAGGATTTTTAACATATTATACTTTTGTTTTGAGGTCTTCCCTCCATCAACTTGAATAATTGAGACCTGTCAGTGATATACTCTCTAATTCCCAGATGCATTGTGATCAATTTATTAGCAGTCAAATGTGTTGGAAACCATAAGGTGCCATATCAGTGCTGATAAATATTAAGAGAGAAGGATAATGCATATCCCAGACAGTATAGGCTCCACTGGAACTGACATCAGAGGCCTGTGCCCTTTACTCTGATTGTTATTCTGATCTGAATGTCATTAAGGAGAGTCTAGTTCAGGTCAATAGATGGCCAAGAGTTCTAACTCCTGTCAATTCCAATGATGGTTTTAGATAGGAAAAATACTACTTACCTCTACTGTAATAAAAATACAGATTTTCCCTTCATATTTTCTAGCCATGTCAATCAATGTCTTTCTTTAACCTTTCTGCATCATCTTATATACATCCATTTGTGCAACAGGAGGCATGCCTGTTACGGGAGACTCTAATATTGCGAGTTGGGGTGTTAAAGTCTCCCACTATTTTTGTGTGGGGGTTTATATCCCTTAGAAGGTCTCCAAGAACTTGCTTTATGCATCTGGGTGCTCCTGTGTTGGGTGCATATATATTTAGGATAATTAGCTTTACTTGTTGAATTGAACCCTTTTCCATTATGTAAAGTCTTTCTTTGTCTTTTTTGATCTTTATTGGTTTAGCGACTGTTTTGTTTGAAACTAGGATTGGAACACCTACTTTTTTCTGTTTTCCATTTGCTTGGTAGATTTTTCTCCATCCCTTTATTTTAAGCCTATATGTGGACTGACATTCTTTGCAGAACTAGAAAAATCTATTTAAAAATTCATATGGAACCAAAAAAGAGCCAGAATAACCAAGACATATACAAAAATTAACTCAAGATGGATTAAAGACTTAAATGTAAAACCCAAAACTATAAAAACCCTGGAAGACAACTTAGGCAATACCATTCAGGACATAGGCACAGGCAAAGATTTCATGACAAAGACACCAAAAATAATTGCAACAAAAGGAAAAATTGACAAATGGGATCTAATTAAACTAAAGAGCTTCTGCACAGAAAAAGAAACTATCAACAGAGTAAACAGACAACCTATAGAATGGGAGAAATTTTTTGCAAACTATGCATCTGACAAAGGTCTAACACCTAGCATCTATAAGGAACTTAAACAAATTTACAAGAAAAAAACAAAAAAGCCTCAGTAAAAAGAGGGCAAAGGACATGAACAGACACTTTTCAAAAGAAGACATACCTGCAGCCAACAATCTTGTGAAAAAAAGCTTAACATCACTGATCATTAGAGAAATGCAAATCAAAACCTCAATGAGACACCGTCTCACACTAGTCAGAATACCTATTTTTAAAAAGTCAAAAAATAACAGATGCTGGCGAAGTTGTGGAGAAAAAGGAACACTTACACTGTTGGTAGGAGTGTAAATTAATTCAACCATTGTGGAAGACTGGCAATTGCTCAAAGACATAAAGACAAAACTACCATTTGACCCAGCAATCCCATTATTGGGTATACACCCAAGGGAATATAAACTGTTCTATTAGAAAGACACATACACACATACATTCATTGGAGCACAATTCACAATAGCAAAGACATGGAACCAACACAAATGCCCATCAGTGATAGACTGGATAAAGAAAATGTGGTGCATATACACCATGGAATTCTTTTAAATATTAATTAGCAAGTGACATGTATTTGGGTCAATCAATGCTTTTCCAAATGTGCATCAAATGCTATAAAGGCATATTTTTTGTCTTAATCACAGTATCAGAATAAATAGGTATTCATCAACGTGAGAATGTGGTATCTGTTACTATGGTGAACGCTCAGGAGTTAGGAATTTTTAAGTGTGGATAACTATGCAAATTGCCCATGCTGTACTGATAAGACATATTCATTAAAATAACATATGTTTAATAATAACACTTATCTATTAATAAGCAATAGCTATGTAAGTGAGAACAAGGTGTTATGCAACATGAACTTCCAGGCAAAAGCTGCCATCCTTGCTACTAAGTGTATCTCATAGACATATAGACTGAAGGACATACTGAATGTAATTTTTCATTTAAGAACTCACCAAACTGCTCCCAAACATGTTAGGGGGATAGCTATCAGAGTAAGGGTATTCTATACTGCAACTCTACTTTCATATCTACTCCCCTTTAACAACTGCTCTTTCCAAGGAAAGTTAAGCTTTATTAGTCTAATATGATTTTTCTTTTTCTTTCCTTTTTTTTTTTTTTTTTTTTTAGATGGAATCATGCTCTGTCACCAGGCTGGAGTGCAGTGGCATGATCTCGGCTCACTGCAACATCTGCCTCCCACGTTCAAGTGATTCTCCTACCTCAGCCTCCTGAGTAGCTGGGACTACAGGTGTGCGCCACCATGCCCAGATAATTTTTTGCATTTTAGTAGAGACGGGGGTTTCACTATGTTGGCAAGGACAGTCTTGATTTCCTCACCTCGTGATCCCCCCACCTGGGCCTCCCAAAGTGCTGGGATTACAGGTGTGAGCCACCACGCCCGGCCATGATTTTTCTTTAACATGACTTTTCTTCTAAGCAAAAGCATCAATAGACCCAAAGTAGATCCATTAGTATACTTGCACTGGCAACAAAGTTCTACTTTTAATATTTAGTATTTATCTCTTAGATTGTAAAACCCAACTAAAACCAAGGATACAAAGTGGCTTCTTTACTGCTATCTGTACAAGTTTAAGTAAACTGAAAATAAATTTAAGTAAATTGGGTAGTGTTTCCATGAACAAAAGTCAAGAAAATGTATAAATGAGAATGGGCTTTCTTGAAACCAATAAAAATGTGTAGCATGATGAATAACATGAGGTGATATGTCTACTAATCCTTTATCAAAGTAGAGATAAAAGTTTGGGCCTTGGAGTCAGATAACCTGTGTTCAATCATATTTTCACTACTTCTAAGCTATGTGACCTTGAACAAATTATATCACTTCTCTAACCTTCAGTTTCCATACCTATGAAGTGGGAACAATGGTAAGATCTAGCTCATAGAATTGTTGAGAAAATTATATGTAGCGATAGTCATAATGTACTCAGCATAGTGCTTGACATTGAGTAAGCACTCCTTAAATATTACATTATAAGCAATGTTTATTAGTTTACATAGAGGTAATATAGTCTAAAAAAATCAGTATATTCAATGTTTAATTCCCAACTGTAAGTGAGAACAGGCAGTAGTTAGGTTTCTGTTCCTGTGTTAGTTTGCTTAGGATAATGGCCTCCAGCTGCATCCATATTGCGGCAAATGAAACCAATCTGTTCTTCTTTAATGGTTGCATAGTATTCCAAGGTGTATAGGTAATACCACATAGACACTAGGGACTGATTGAAGGAGGAGGGTGGTGGGAGAGGACTGTGGGTTGGAAGGCTACCTATCAGGTACTACCTTCACTACCTGAGTCATGGGATCATTCATACACCAAGCCTCAGTGATGTACAATTGACTCATGTTACAAACCTGCACATGTATCCCCAGAACCTAAAATCAAAGCAGAAGAAGAAAAAAGTAAGAAGTAAAAAAAAAGAAGAAATGTTTAAAATACTTTTTAAGTTTCTAGGAATGTTAAAATCATTTAGATAAGATTTTAATTACCAGCTCAGACTTAAAAACACACACACACACCACACACGCGCACACACAAAATTAACCATAACATCCATACATGAGAACATCAGATTATATAAACTGTGGTGCAGCTATTATTGCAACCTTTAGGTAATTTTCCTTGAAAACACATTGTTCTCTGTGTCCAGATAGTGAGGTGGCTTCTCTTGCATATATAAACAGTAAGGCCAAAGTATCCAGGAGATTCTGGGCATGGTTCAGTATCCAAGAATTTTGCCTTCCAACAGATGATACTAATGTGGTTCCCAAACTGAAGAGTTGACACTAAATATCTGGAACACATCCCATAAAAACATAAGAACTCATGCCCAGAAAATCATTGCATGTACCCATAAATATGTTGCCTTTGGCTATAATAACTGCCACTTGGAAACATATTAAAACTTTTCATGGGTAGTTATCTAAAATGTCCAAATATCATTATGCTTTGGGGAGTTTAACTTGACCAAGGAGAAACAATACTACTAAAAGGAATGTTTTGTGATGCCTAAACAAATCCAAGTAACTGGAAGGTAGGGGCCAAAAAAAAGTAGCCTTCTGGATTAGTTTCTGCATATATGGTGGTAGCTTAAATCAAAGAGTAGTAATTTGTTGTAGAGAGGCAATTGGCAGAAAGCACTGGCAGAATCATTCACAAAAAACAAGCCTTTCTTCCCTCTAAAATAGGAAAGCATGAGCTTCTCAACTTGATGTTTTTGTGACAGAACTCAGGGATTATGCTGTCTTATGTTTGTGGGGGTAGGAGGGGAGGTGGGTGGGAGGAATTTCTGAAAAGCATATCTGTGTTCCTTTGCAGTAATAGCTCATGCTCTTGAACAAAATCAAATATCTCCCATCCTGCTATAAAGTAAATACTGACGTAAGACAAAAAGGCAGTATCTGGAGACTCTAAATGCCTCATACTTTGATTAAAAATGCTTTTGTCAATTACAGATTGATTTTGTAGCTCATTACAATGATGGATGTCAGGGCTGGCGGAGGTGGTATTTTACCACTTGGCCTGAGGGCACACACAGTTAGAAGAAGATGGTAAAATTATAATTATTTTCCAGCACTCATCCATGTGCCTACATTGACCCAATGGGTACCACTGGGATAATTTGAAAGAATAGCATCAGATGGAATGGCCAAAAAGAATAGTACCTCAGCCCCTCTCTAGAAGGAAAACATGTTAGACAAATATTTCTCAACAACCTGCTGAGATTCTTGTCACCTGATAAGTCACATTAAGCTACATCAGCCAGGTTTTAAAGTAAGCTAGAGTGCTTAGCAGAGGCTGCAGCAAAGAATATGCAAATGTCTCTGTGTGTACTACTATGAATATTAAAAGTCCCTATATTTATATATCATAATGTAGGCACATTCTTCCACATACATAAATACAAATGTACTTTCTCCCCCACTTTAACATTGGAGGTTGTTAGAAGCTGTGGGGAAATCAGAGGATATAGGTAAAAGAGCTGCAGGGGAAAGAAATTAATATTCCGTAGCGGCTGAAAAAAAAAAAAGAAGGAAATTCATGTCACTTTGCCATACATTCATATCATGCTCTGAAGTGACCTGTATTTCTGGAGACACTGTGTGGTTTCTAAACTCTGATACCCATGGTTAGTTCACAAGACATTCTCTAATGGTATCCTATGAATGACTACATTCTCTGTGATAGCTGCACGGCCAAAGAAGTAATATCCTCCAGACACATAACATGCAAATCTTCTATGTGGTATACCTAGCACCTGCTGCAAAATGATGGTGACTCAGCATTCAATTAAAAATGTAAGAAAATCGATGCCAAGTATTATGGAAAAAGATATTACATGAGACTGATATCAGCAGTCTTAGGATTAAGAAAAGAATAAAATCATTTCAAATTGAAGATTAGGAGGCCTGCCTACACTATGACTATAGCAATATTGGCCATATATCTACACAATTGCTTTTTATAATAGTCCACCATGAACACAAACCTATTTATGGCCTACTTTCATGGTGATATATCTTCGTTCTGCTAGTTGTTTAGAATCCCAATACTGTGAAATGGAACTGTGGTGACAAAAAAAGTAATACTTCATATAATGAAATGTCAAGAAATTTAAGTTAAAGTAAGGTAATGATACATAGGTTCAGGGCATAAAACCTGATCTATGCTTATAATCAAAGTGAAAATGGACAGTGGAACATCATTAGAACATCTGGATCATTTTGGAAACTTATTATGTTTGGCATCAAGGACCAGGATGAAATCTCATTTTTCTTACCTTTTGTATTATAGTGGTGGTAAAGAAAGAGAAGGAAAATGTGTTCATAAAGTCTGGAAAAATATAAGCGGGGTACATATGCTTTAAAAAAACAGACAATAGACAATCAAAAACCAACTCTGGGATATCTAAAGCATTAAAAACTTTTAGATATTTAAAATTAGCTAGAATTCTAGTTGTTAAAATAATATGCTTGTAGATGGCTTATTTCTGTGCCAAAGTGTCAATACTGGAGTAGAAGTGTGCTATACAAATAGTCTTCACCATGAACAATCCCATGACAAGTCTTGCTGATAGGGTAAAATTTGAAAGGAGAAACAACAGGCATGGTGGCTCACACCTGTAATCCCAGCATTTTGGGAGGCCGAAGCGGGCAGATCACTTGAGGTCAGGAGTTTGAGACCAGCCTGGCCAACATGGTGAAACCCCATTTCTACTAAAAATACAAAAATTATCTGGGCATGGTGGCAGATGCCTGTAATCTCAGCTATTCCGGAGGCTGAGACAAGAGAATCGCTTGAACCTGGGAGGTGGAGGTTGCAGTGAGCTGGGATTGCACCATTGCACTCCAGCCTGGGTGACAGAGCAAGACTCTGTCAGAAAAAAAAAAAAAAGAAAAAGAAAAAGAAAAAATAAAGAAAGATAAAGAAAAAGTGCTTAGGGAAGCAACAATGACTTCTATTTTAATGGTCCCAGGTCTTTGGCTCCAAGTGTTGCATAGTGTCTATTCCACAGGTAAAGATGACTTTAAGTACTATCTAAAGGCAAAAAGTTACTATCATTTTATCATTTGGGTAAAAAAATAATACTCATCCTAGTATTATAAATTTGGAAGGGAAAGACTCTCAGTTTCTCAAATCGTAAGTTGCTAAAGCCAATGATCTTATCTACTCTTCCTGCAGAGAGGGAAAGAAACATGTAGAAAGTAGTGATACTGCGCAATATTTGCTCTTCCATATACTCTGGAGTTGGCAGACCATTTGATGGTTTCATTGCCTTCTCTCTCCTCTGCTAATATTGCTGTTACAATTCCACTAAATTTTTATACTCTTCACTCCCAGTTTTCACTTTCTAGACAACTGAATGCAGATGCTATTAAGTGCATCAATAGGAGTTCTAAGAGGAATACAGGAGAAGTTTCACTGCTGATCTAGACCTCAGACTTGGTTACAGGTAAGGTTAAAGGACCCTATACTCTGCCTTTTGTAGCACGAAAACTGTCAGACCATACCAAATAGAAAAATGGGAAATAATTTTTTTCTTCTGTCATGATTACAACATCAATAGATAATCTAAGACATTTTGAATTCATGGTCTTAGTATCCAACAACCTTTCTGCTGCTTGGTCCTGTAAGAGCACTTACCATGCCATATTTAATTTCTGTGTACTGGTCTCTCTCTACTTCACTACCTGTGAGCTCTGTGGCAAATATTCTATCTTTGTCTCTGTATGTAAGACCTAATATATTATTGGTTCACGGGAAGTGCTCAATAAATGTTAAATGCATAAACTTATACTCATTTGAATGGCAATTTCTAAGGTTTTTTAAACCACCTAAGTACCCACATAACCAATTAGACAAGGGACTTAAATCTCATATTTAGAGTATTTTTTTAAATTTCAGATTTTCAAGACATCTTAAAATATCTCCTGAAATACAAAATAGAAACAGAATTTAAAGTATATAGAAATGGTATTAATGTCATTGATGATGATGATGATGATATCATGAAAATAGCAGCTGAAATGATATAAACTGTTACATGGTAGCACAGATACAATTTGACAGAAACCAAGTTTATAATGAAAAATGACAATTCTTAAACTCCTGCATTTCCTTTACTATACATGAATTTGAGATAATTGTTCCAGTACCAGATTTATGCCCCACTAAACTGAGACTGTCACAAAACCTCCTCAGCAATAGCCCCTCTAGGTGCAGTAAAGGTTGAATAAGTAATGAAAAGACTCAGACTACAGTTGAATACACCTGTGAAATTACTATATACCAGAAGCTCCAACAAACCATTTTCCTCCCTCTATGTGTACCCTAAAGCCTGATTCAGAAGACAAGTTGACAACTCTTACAAGTTAATGGCAAATATCTGCCCAATAAAATGACTGCTTGTTGGTATCACTGAAGTATTTGTTGGGGTAGTTTCAAACTTTAAGACCATCTGACCTCATCTGACAGAAGAGCTTGATTATATGAGCCTGATGCAGTGTATACTGTACTCAATTTACTATACTAATGAGTTGGTGATACAAAATATAAGTCCATAAGGAATTTCATTAAATGATGTAAAAAAAAAATAAGAAAATCAGTTAAATCAAATGTGTAAACCTATAATTAATGTACTACAATTTGTAATTTAGCTTTGAAATATGCACATCACTTGAAAACTATCAATTCAGAAGGAAAATGGAAAATAAGGTTAACCTTAACTGAATATGTTACAACCCAGTGAGTACACTATATGTTTATGTAGACAGCAGAATGTGGCACTTCCAAGTGGGGTCTGAAATCAGATTGCTTCCTTTCACACCTTACAAGATACAAGATGTTGTGCCAATTAACATTTTCTACCTGTGTTACCATCTGTAAAATACAGACAATATCCCCTTTCTCACAGAATTAGTTGGCACCTCAAGAAATGTCAGCCTTGCCCATGACGGGCCAAGGGCAACATAGTAGCAGGACTCTCCCGCAGGGGCTGAGAATAAGGGGGTTATTTGCAAAGAATTTGAAAACAATTGTAAAATCAACAAAAAGTTGGTCAACTTTTTATTATAAACATGTATTAGTTAATTCAAAACAGAGCCAGTGATAAATTACTCTTGTTCTCAGAGGCAGAAACTTCCAGCCCCCAACTCTTAGTATATACCACTGAAGTCTCATGGTAAAACTGAGCTAAGAATAATCATGCATTAAATAAAGGACATTTATATCCATTTTAATTTATCAGATCAACATAGTTTGAAATAAAAGCATAGACATGTGTAGAAGATGAAATAGTCTCTTTAGGTTCACTATTGATCTCGTTTAGGAAAGCACCATCACTTCCATATTAATTATTTCTTGGCCATTATTAAACTGCTATGCACCCGTCTTTGACTCTGTTTTCTGTCTGCCAACTCTCATTGCAAAAATTTTCTGTCTAGTTTATTGAGATGTAAAGAGGACAGATAATGTTACATTTATAAATTATTTTCAACTGCTAAGATAAAATGTACTGTATAGAGTACATTTCAAGCTACAAATAACAAATGCAAAATAGTGATTACATTTTCTCCATGAAAATTTTGACAGAAATAAGGGCACTGTCATCTATTCTGTATAATTCTCTCCTCTCCCATCTTTGCCCTGTTAATTAGTCTCAAGATCACTTACTTTTACTTGTTATTTTTTAAGTTGATGAGATCATTAAATTTATTAGCTACCCAAATACATTTGAAGTTTATTAAGATTCTGTGGTGCCTTTGAACTGGAAATAGAGAAGGAATAGAACTCACTTTTAAAGAAATTAAAGTAATAAAGCAAAATGGGTACCACTTCATTTTAAGTACCCATTAACCAGACCATAAGAGAGAAAGTCAAAATGGAAATCTCAGAGAAATAAACAGGTGAAACATATGCCATTCTTCCCACGCAAGCATTAGTCCAGCAGTCAGCCCATCCAGAATACATGCCGAAAGCATTTCACAGGGGAATACTTAAAAAGTGTATTTTACATTTTTAGAGATAGAGTTTCATTGAAATCTCAATTTGTGTGCAGGACTCATTAAGAGATTGAGATAATGCTTTCATTTGTTGATGATAAACGTTAATTTATTTTCTCTATTAAGCCACTGCAAGTCTTTGGGTTCAGGATGACATAAAATACTTTATATGAAATGATCTGGTTCATGACATTTTTATTCCCTGTACATTTGGCAGACACAAATTTTCTTAAACTGCAAATACTATTCTTGGTGTCATGAAGAACTGTCGTTGCTTCTAAATCTTCAAAATTTGTTTCATTTAAATGTATTGGCCAATTGCTGCAGTTAATGATGATGAATAGGATTAAGATTAAATTTTTAATAAACTGGATTGACTGTAGCCATAGGCAGAAACTAGCTATCTAAATGATGTCATCTCTGTTGCTAGAAGTTTCCTGCATTATAAATATTTTCCTATTAGGTTTTAAGGTACCTAAAACTTCGTTTAAAATTATTTGTTTAAACCATTGGTATCATAAAACCACATTAAGATACTCATCAGGGAGATGTTTTGAGATAGCACTTTAACAGGTATTATGTTTCTCAAAATTTTTACAGTTTTTAATTTTATTTTTTAAATTCACATATGTTTCTTATGAAATTCTCACACCACCCAGTGGTTTTGTATAAGCCAAGAGATGTTGGAAACACGGAGTACTACCTGAGCCTTAAGTGAGAGTCTCAGAGTTGCAACCTAGAACCAAGGATAAAGGTTGTGTAATTACAGAAAAATCAGACCTTGAGGAGGCTGGACCTACTTCTAATTCCCTTCTGAGGTTGGCCTAGATAATAAACTATCAAGGAAGAAATAAAATAATTTAATAAATAATTGCCTTTTCCTTTTTTGACTTTTTCATTTTTGCTTTATTTGAGATATTGATAGCATAGTTGACCTAAATGGGATGAAAATTCACTTGCATAAAATAAAAAATACTTAAATTCTGTCAGAAATTTGGATAGCACCTAAGGGACCTGACTGAGGTCACAAGATCAGAAGTCTTTATATTTCTGCTAAAATTACATTTTAAATGTTTAAATTATATAAATGCCAAATCATTTAATAACTGAAAGTTTAAGACAATAGATTGACCTAAACCTTTGCAATTTATGAAACTGTATTATTAGTTCATGTGTCTTATGGACATTTATTTGTTTCTACTAGGATAATAGCTAAATTTTAATAACAAACATAATAGCAAAAAAATCAGTATCAATATAACTGAAGGAAATGGAAACTTTCTTTTCAACAAGACATCTTCATGTATTTATAAGATTTCAGGCCTGGATCTGGAACTATGATTCTGATATAGGCCCCAGTGCTTCTAAATGACTGCCATTTAACTAAAACATCATAACTGTATAGTTATTCATAATTTTATTTGTTAGTAATATTAATTTTTTGAGATTATTACTTCATGCAAAACCAGCCAGCCAATCAACACAATGGATACACCAGAGACACAAGTATTCTAATTCTTGAAGTGATCTTAATTGTGGGTTTTTGCATATAGAGATTATAGATAGATTTAGGGATCATAGACTATTTGCAGGTTTCTTACTTAATCCTCCTTGAGCATTGGTGGAAACCTGTGGAGGCTTGAATGAAGGCCTTGTAGCGAGGGTATGCAGCAAATCTTGTTGGGAAGCAGCCTCTCTGAGCTAAATGACAAGTTAGCATCCCCTAAGTTAGCACATCTGAGTGAAGAAATCTGTGGAAAATTTGTTTTCCAAAGATATTTGATATTCTGCGACCTATTTAAAATTTAAAGTAACTTTGGGGGCCAGTCATTAGGAGAAAGTGTCAAATATTCTCTCTTTGAGTACACTTATTTAACAAATTTAGCTAGGCATTTCTTCAGTGGTACTCTCAGAGACAGGACACTGGTACGGAGATATGTATGAGAATTTGGTAGTGTAGCTGTTTTCTCCGTAGTCCTTGCTCTAGTTCTACATAAAGACTTTGGTCTTCAAACTGCCCAACCCAGCCTTATCCCCTAAGTAAAGAGAACTCAATAAATGTGGTCATGTAAAGGAATAATTTATGATGCTTGGGATTAAAAACAAATACCAAACCAAGGCTGGAATTAGGTCAAAACCAAGTTTAATATATAACAGGTTATAGGCATATGAAATATGATTGTAAATGATAAGCTTATGTATATATAACTATGTTAATTATATTTATGCAAGGTATTTTTTCTTTTCAAACCAATGAACTGTCTTGATTCTTCAAAAGTAATGAGAAAATAGTAATTAAATCTGATAATTACATTTTTCTTAGTGAATATATTTTAATAGAAAAGATGCACATTTGAGGGGATATGACCTTATTTTAGATGAGAGAGGTCAAAATAATCAAGGTTTGATGGCAAGAGACAATTGGAATATATTTCTATTTTTGCTTCACAACATCTATTAGATGTATAAACTATTTTATCTAACAAGTCTCCAGACACATGAAAAAGGCACATTTAAAAACTATATTTTATTTCTTATTTTTCTGATTCCCAGCAGCATCTGAAGAAATTTCTAGGGACCTGACTGAGGCTACAGGATCAGAAATCTTTATATTTCTACTAAAATTACATTTTAAATGTTTTTATTAAAGCATAATATACACAAAAGTGCAAAGATCATAATTGTAGCACCTGATGAATTCCCACAAATTTGACATAGCTATTTGAATTAGCACCAGATATGGAAACAGCACATTACCTCACTCAGAAGCTCCCTCATGTTTTTTTACAGTCATTATCCTTCTCTTCTGACTTCTAGCAGCATATATTAATTTTGTCTTTTAAGCCAGAAGTGGAAGCTGGCTTATTTTGCTCAACATTATGTTACACAATTAATTCATATTATTGCATGTAGTCACAGATTGTTCTCATTGTTGCATAGTACACCATTATGTAAATATAACCCAATTTTTAAAAAATTTCTCGTTAAAATTTCATATCTGGAAAAAACAGTCCTAAAATATATCTTTATCTATCTATCTATCTATCTATCTATCTATCTATCTATCTAGGATGCTGTATAACTGAACAGAACACAGATACATAAATGTTTCAAAAGTTAATAATCTTATTTTTAAATGCCAGAGGGTTAGGGAGAAGCCACAAAAGAAATATCTTCCAATTAATACCACATGTTTTAAAAAAGAGAAAAATTCAATATCAACATCAATTAAGAAGTCTTAATATCTGTATATACTCTGAAATCAGTTTTAAATGTGAATGAGCCATATCAAGTTCTCTTTGGTAAACAAATGAGCAATGACATGGATATTAGTGACATTGATAAGTATTAATTGATAATTAAGTTGATGATAATGGGGAAAATGTTAAGAATCATGAATTTGACCTCAGGAGGGGAAGCTCATCAAAATCAGATCGTATCTAAATGAGACATGTCCTTAAAATGAAAGGCAGCTCTGGTCTATAAGAACTCATAGTAATTCAACTAGTGACTACTAAAGTATTTTCAAATTACAGATCTTACTTGAATTTGGTTTGTTGTATAGGGAAGCCTCATTTATAAATAGGAGTTGAATTTCCATTTTATGAATACGTTAAAATCCTTATAAACCATTTTTTAAATAATTTACAGAAGCTTCCCTAATAATCTTGTTTAAAGTATTAATTTTCTAAACTAATTTTTTTTTAATGTTCTGGTCACAAACTTGAGTTCTGAATTAATGAAATGTGAGAAATACCTTTGCCAGACTTCATATATTTTCTCTAATGTTTATATTTGGAAAATTTTATGAAAGAAAACATTTTTTGACCACGCAGAGGCACCATATATGAAGCATTTTGGTTCAACGGAGAGTTCTGTGGCTATTTCTGCAGAATCTCTATCCATCTCCCACTCTTTATCTTGCCACATCTTGTACATATCCTGTTACCTTAATTGTCCTTGATATTTCCTGCATTTATTCTGTAGCATATCTCCATAAAATTGTCCTTCCTCTATTATATTTTCACAGAGAAAATGAAAAATGAGTCTCTGCCCATAATCATCCACCTCACAACTATTAGAACAGAATCAAGAGTCTAAAGCATTTCCAAGAGCTGAGTGTCTTTATTATCACAAACACACAACTGGAACTATAAATTCAGCAAATGCAGAGTTTATATTGATTCGATATTGCACTGAGGTTTCATGGCAATAGCATTGTCTCTCAAAAGACAGCAACAAATGTCCAATTGCATGTAAGCTAATGAAGAACTCAGTCAAATGGGGCAACTTTGTCATGTTAGTAAGGCTTCTGTATCCAGGTAAGCATAACAGTGCAGGGAAAAGAAAAGTAGTTTCATGCCCAGGGTCACTAGACTTTATCAACTGGACAGCCAACACTTGGAGGATTTTTCAGGAGAAGTAGATCTTTTCCATGAATGAAACAAACATTCAATCCAATTACTAGAAATGTACCATACATAAAATATTGTGGGCATTCCAAAAAAACACAAAAAACAAAAAAAGTTAACCTCGTTAACTTATTGTAAGTTGCTTACAATATGGTAAGGCTTATATTTTGATGTAAACTATAAATCACCACAAAAGTTTGATAGAGAAGTACATAACAGTAAGAAAAACAATTTCTAATTCTCAAAGCATAGTGTCTTTGAACTTGAATCTTGAGATACAATCATGTCTGATGGGACTAATTTCTGCATTTTAATTATGGCATTTACTGGAAGTGCTCCTTGAGAAGAGAGGACAAGGAAGCTCAAGTGTCTTTTGTAGAAGTGTGTCCAGAACAAAAATTATATTGGCAGCAACAATCACTTAATGAAGGAAGAGAAAAATGAAAAAAAGATTTCAACTTGAAAGCTATTTTATAATCACAGGAGGCTTTAGATAATGGCCTGGCAATAAAATGGTCCGGGAGTAGCCGCCAAGGGGAGTTATTGTTGTTCTTTGTTTAGTTTTCTTTGTCTGAAGCTCAGTTTATGTAAAAAGAAGGCTTTGCTTTGCGGGTAGGGAAAAAAGATACCATAATCTCACCTCTGCCCGGGTTTAAAATATTTCTAGGAGAGGAACAATGACTCTAGAATGCCTTTGCCTCAGCTTGAAGCTGCCACTAATGGCATAGCAAACACAAACTACAAAAAACGTCTGTGTTGCCGGACCTGGGACTTTGGTAACCTCCTGCTTCCAATTAGAAGAACAAGCGGAGCCACAGTACAGCCAGGCAAGCTTAAGTCAGGTATTTGGAAGGAGGGAGAGTGACAGAGGAAAGTCAAAGCAGTAGCTGTATGGTCCTGAAGAAGTGGTCTGGTAGCTGGAGGAACCCTGGAGATTTAGCCAAGGGGTCATCATGAGCCGCCTTCCCTGCTGTAGTTCATGCTCAAATGCCAGAATGAACTAAATTTCTCACCTGGGAAAACTGCATTTTCTACCTGAATTCCTGATCCCATCCCCCACTTCCTCTGTCCTCGTCTATCAATAACTTGCTCTTTCCTGCATCTTCATTCTGTCCGGTTTCCCTAGCTACTTTCTTTTGCCTTCATTTTCTCAAAAGATAAAATATAAATAATTATTTTAACCCCCACCTGACTGAATGATCCCACTAGCAGGAGTCTAAGGCACTGGACAAGGGCTGAAGTCTTTGGTGCCTGGACTAGTTACAGGTACTGAGGTGTGGAATTAAGTGAAGCATGGTGGATGGACCTAATACAGGATGATTATTCCTAATTCGAAAATTCCAAATTTGAAATGCTCTAAAATCAGAAACTTTTTGAGAACTGACATGTTCAAAGGAAATGCTCACTGGAGTATTTTAGATTTTGGATTCCTTGATTAGGGAATGTTTATGTGTAGTGCAGATATTACACAATTTGAAAAAATCTAAAATCTGAAATATTTCTGCTTCCAAGCATTTTGAATAAGGAATACTCAACTTGTAAACAGGTAGCACAAAATGGAACAAGGTAATTTGAGGGATGAACTGAACCACATGCAGTCCCACCATGGCATAAAAACACAAAAAGAGAACAGGATAAAACAAAGATAAAATCCTCTGGAGCATGGGGTAGGAGGCAAAGCTTAGAGAGTTCTGATCTCCTGGCATTTATTCATAGTCACAATTTTTACGAAGATTGGTGATCCAGCTCATTCAGGGAACGTTTGAACTGTCATCACATTTGTGCCATTGCCTTTCACCACCAAACTAGATAAACATTTTACCAATGGTTCTTTTTTCCATTTCTGGTCACATCGCCTGTAAACATTCAAAAATGGTGTCTTTTCACTTCTCCTTTGAGATTGCATTCTTCAATGTCATCCGTAACTCCATAGTAGCCAAATTCAGTGATCCTTTTTTAACGTTCATGCTCCTTAATTTTCTGCAACATTCAATTGTAATTATATTGCCTCTTTTCTCAAATCTCACCCATACCACTTTGGCTTCCATCTTTCTTTCTGTTCTCTAATTGATAACCTTCACCAAATGACAGAAAGCAGAAAAGAGAGCACACATTTATGAACTTGCATTATGACCTAAAATGATTAATTCATATTCTTATAAGTTTCATTGAATCACTCTGGCTGCTCTGTTGAGAATAACTATAGGAAGCCAAGAACCTCGTTAGGAAGACCTCACATTACTACAGACTAGTGTTCATAGTAGCTCTGATAAAGGTTATAGCAATAAAAGTAGAGAGAGATGGTCAAATTCTGGACATATACTGAATGGAGAGCCACAAGATGTGGTGGGCTCCCTCACATGTAGGGTGTGAGGGGAAGAGAGGAGCCAGGCCATTCTGAGATGTTAGGGCCAGACAACTGGAAGGAGAGACTTGCCACCAACTATGATGGGAACACATAAGGAACGAGAAAGTTTAGGGGGAAGATCGGGAGTTCAGGTTTTGATATTTTAAGTTTGAAGTATTTAGGAAGATAACCCAACAGAGTTATTAAGGAGGCAGTGAAATATATGAATCTGGATATCAGAGAGAAGTCTCGGCTGGAAATTGAAATTTGGGATTCATTGGCATTTTAGATGGACACATGAGCCAGACAGCAAATGTCAGCATAGCAAGATCTTGGAAGAATTATTTCAGATTCAGAGTCAATGAATATTTATTAAGCACCTACCATATGCCAAGCTCTGTGCTAGGCACCTTCAAATACATTTTTTTCACCCCTACACAAACCCATGATGAAGTTTTATATAAGAAAAGACATAATGAAGAAATTAAGCTTTGAAAAAGTCTATAAATTTTTCTAAAGTAGCAAAATTAGCATGTTATGAAGCAAAGATTCAAACTACTGCTTGCTTCATTACCTCATTTTTATCACTCTATGGGTATGTACATTTGCTAATCCTCATAGGGCTCATAAATCCTGGATATCTGACCCTCAGATACTTGTGTCATAAAATGGGAACTAAATTTATCCTTAGTGACCTCAGGACCTCATAGATGAGTTGAAACACGAGGTACTCAAGGTGGCCTGCCTGGCATTTTGCTTTCAGTGGGCCTGAGCACCCAGTGGCATGGATGTGGGTCTGCATCCCATGTGATGTGAATGTCCTGCCTGTTCTCAAGTGCTGTGAAGTGCACTGTAAAACACTAATCTCTCTCAGCTGCACCCACTCAGGCTTATTCAGAACTGCACAAGGCTCATTGCCTTGGAATCTTTGTAGAGAGGAAAACTCAAGGCAGCTAGCTGGACCTTAGTATCGGGGCAAATGGAGGTTCTGACAGGTAAACTGGAAACAGTGCCTTCCAAAGGGAAATCTGCCATTTTGCTTTCTTTTGGTGCCTTCATTTTCTGCTTCACTGGGAATTTGTGATTGTAGATATAGAATATGAATTTTAAAACTCTCCCATTTGGGCTTCCATTTTAATGTCTCTGAGTTGGCAATACACGGACCTTTTCTTCTGAACTTCTGGACATCTGCTTCTTCAAGTCTAAGGTAGCCTTCAGACTACCTCCTATTTCTCACTCTCCTACTCCACATTCCTAATTCCCTATAATATCTAACCGCTGGGCCTAGCATAATTTCCTAATTGTTTTCTGTATTCACATCTTTACTAGCTCCTAAGTTCTTCAATGACAACACTATCTTAACTCCTTAACTTCACTGTGTCCCCAGTACCTAGCCCAATACGAAGCATTTAGTGTCTCAATCATATCTACTGACTTATTTCAACAACTTTTGCAGGTATTGACATAACCATGCACTCTGGCTCATAAGGTCAACAATGTCCTAGTTTCTGGGAACAGACTGACTAGAAGGCTCCCTCTGCAGCTATGAGCAAAAGCAGCAGCCTTTCTAGCTTACTGCCTAAATTTAAACCCCAAGAGCTTAGGTTTCCTACCGGGATTCTTGCTGCGGTGCTTCCCTGACCACGATGCTCAGACTCACCTGCTTCACACCATGACCTCTGTTGTTTGCCTGGTACTGGGAGTAGCTGCCTACTCTGTATGCCACCTTTTCCTGGTGCCGTATGTAGATTAAAAAAATGTGCATAACAAACTCTTCTTTACAGAAGAGGAAACCGAGGCTCAGAAAGGTTATGCCATTTTCTAAGATCCCACAGAGAACAAGTGGTACATTGAAAAATAGAAGCCAAGTTTGGATTCTCCTGAGCCATTCCTCTCCCCTGAATTTGCACTGCTTTGGTTACCTAATCTGACCCAGCAAAATACAAAACAAACTCCACTTCCCTTGCATTCTAGTTTTGTGATATGCTCTCCTTAACTGGCTTCAACGATCACACTTTTTCTGAGTGTTTATATTTTTGTTTACTGTTTTACATCATATTCCCTCCTCTTCCTCTACCTGCTCTTGTGGTGTATACACCAGCGTTCTGGAAGTCTTTATCTCTTTTTACCTTACGAGAAGATCATCTTTAGTAATGCCATTTGTTACCAGAGTTGCAACTCTCACCTACATACTGATGCTGATGATTTTAAAATTTGTCTCTTTAGTCCTGACTTCTCTCATGAATTCTCTACCTTCTTACTGGACCTCTTACTTGGGTGTTTCACAAACATCTCAAACTGCAAATATCCATAGCTAAAATAAGTGTCTTTTCTCTCTTATTATTCCATCCTCCAGTGTTTTAAATTTCTGTCAAAAAGTCGTCATCCTACCAGTCATTCTAGCCAGGAAATCTCGAGAAGTCGCTCCTTGCCTGTCTCTCTTTTACTCACAAAGCCAGTCACCAGGTTCTCTCCAAACTGCTTCTAAAATGGCTCTTGCCTTTCATTCTCCAGTCTTCATCCCCGCTGCCATTCCTGTCTTTAGCTTAGATCCACACCATCACTACAAATTAGTTTCTCTGGTTTCAATCTCTTCCCTCATCTGGTGCATTCTCCATATGCCATCAGAGTTATGTTTCTAAAAACAATCTAATATGACATCTCACGTCTTAAAAAATTCATTGGGTACCAGCTAACAGGACACAGCAAGGATGCTCAGAATATGGCCACTTAGTACTTTTCCACTATTCTATGAATCCTCTACCATACAGTGCAGACACAGCACTTTTTCATTTTTTTTCTTTTCTTTTTTATAATTTTTCCATTCCATGAACGCTCTCTACAGTTTTTCTTTGAGACTTTTGTGACTTCTGATCTGCAGTCTTTCTGCCTGGACCGCACTCCTCTAACTCTTCACTCTTGAAAAAATCTTACATCTTTCAAAGCCCAGATCCAGTTCATTTCTGTGAAGCTTTCCCTGACCCATCCAAGGAGAATTAATTACTCTATATTTTTTGCTTCTATATTTTTTTCATCCAACCATTATAGCATGCATCACATTCTTCCAGAGTTAATTTCTGAGAGGTCTGATTCACTAGCTAGATTGCTAGCTTCTTGAAGGCAACAGCTGCAGCTCATTCATCTCCAAAGCCTATACATTAAGCACAGTACTGGGCATATAATAGGCCCTCAGAAAATGTTTGCTGAATTAAACTTAATTTAAATGATACATAATGGGAAAAATAATATTTCATATATAGGATTGGCAAACTCACTTTAGAGACAACTGTTTAGAGACATATCTATTCCGAAAATGAGATGCTTCAACAATCACAGTGCAAAAGGAAATAATTAGGTCTGCCATACACACAAACTTAACTTCTGTACTTTCAAAATGACTTCAAAGAGAGATATTTTTCACGGAACTATTGATATTGAGCAAGATGTTGCTTTCCTTTCAGTAAGCATGACAGAAAAAAAAATTAAGTCTCTAGAGTGTTTGTAATTTGTTCTTGTGGAGGGAGGTAGCTAGTAATTCCTGCAGCAACTGTTGGGTGGGCTACAGATATCTTGACATAATCTAGAGCCTATAAGACATGTCTGTCGCCAGGGATGTCATTCTGATCCGAAGCTCTGGAGTGCTGCTTAGAAATGTGTAAGGGAGACTGACTTAGAGGTTTGCAGGGAATATCTCGCTAAGTGACTAATGATCTATAAAGTCCTGATACTTGCCATATCTGCCTTTTCCTGGGACCATGGATTATTGTATCTGCTAGTTTTCAGCCTCAATAAAAGAACTCTGGCCAAGCAGGTGAGAAGCTTTAAAGTATAACTTTATTTTAAACAATGCCTTTTAACAATAACTACCAAAGCATTAACAATAATATATGTATAAAATGTTATGTAAATGTTATACAAATTATATATATATCTAAATCTATCTACACATATATATTATTTATAATTCTGCCTTAAATTTAATCTCTATTATAGCTGCAAAGTTTATATATTCATTCTTATATTATCTCAAATGCTAGCACGTCCTTCATTTTTTGCTTCGTATCTGTATTTTGGTTTGAGGCTAGCAATAGTAACCAGATCCCCTAATCCCAAATGAGGGGGCTCTCTGCAAAGACTTAGTCCTGCCCAATTTCATTACCATCTCAGATATAATCACTTACATTGCACTAATCTTTCCTAAATCTTGAGCAGAGGGAGAAAGAAACAAAGCACTCTTTTTCAAGGTCATGGGTAGAGAAAGCAGAAAATCAAGACACAGAACCCAGATCTGTTCTTGATTGGGTTCTCAATCTAGTGCTTTCAAATACACTGTGAACAACCAAACAGGAGTAAAAAGACATATATCAAAGCCAACAAAAGATGAAACCTCAAAGGGTGTGTGAGTGAAGGGAATCAGATGAGAGTTGAAAATACAGAGTTGATGAGAAAAGCAATAAAAACAAGCCACTCAGGTGGCATTAGCTGCAAAGAACAATCTTGCTGGTCAATCCACCAGTGGTATTTGAATGCTGGTGAAAGGTGATTAAAGGAAGGGAGTTTCAGGTGTGCAGAGAACACAAATGGAAGATATACTAGATTTTAAATCTTAAAGTGATTTTGAAATCTGTTTTATTATTATTATGTTTCTGAAGCACAGAGGGAATCTGATTGAGCGAACATCTTAGCTTGTAGCCTAGCCAGGGGTTCACAAGGCCCTGAGAAAACCTTCTGCCTGACTCTCACCAGGCCTTTGAGGATCCCACACGCTCAGTGGCTGACAGGAGAGGCAGCTGAAATATGACGAGTGGTGCCAAGGCTGTCAGCACTGGCCCATTTAGGGAGACTTGTGTTCATTCACTGTCTCAGCTTAAGGGGCCTTTGTGGGAAATGGCAATTCACAGTGTGAATTTCAATAGAATCTTTAAGTCTCTCAGAGATTTTTCTCTTTGCCAAGAAAATTTCCCACTGCCAAACACTTGTAGATTGACAGCTCTGCAGGTATCTCTCTAATATAGCTGTTCCTTTCTTACTTTTTACTGTACCTAGGGCCTTGTTTCCTAAAGGTTTTTGTGTGTGTGTATATATATTTTTAATATTATTTTGATGGATCTTTCTTTTTCTAACTGGCATGAGCCTTAAGTTAAAATGAATTGGATGCTGGCATCATATAGAAATATTGTTTTTACAGGTTTCTCAAAGTAAGATGTATTAAAGAAGACATATCAAGTTTCCAGGGCTTGTGTTGCCATAGCAACCAGTATAGGCCTAGTTTGGAGAATGGGAACTGGGGGCTAACAAGAGACTACTAGACATGTTTTCCTCGACCATAAAAGCTCTGAATGAATTAGATTCCCACTGTCTTTGTGGTTTTAAGATGTAGAACAAGCAGAAAATAGGTAGGTGGGCAAATTTAGGTTATAGGTATAGGTACAGGCAGAGAGTAAGTTATAAATGAGCGCAAAACTGCCCCGACGTGCTTCATGGAATCATCAAATATCAGAGTTTGGAACACATGAGGAAGTTGAGGCTCAGAGAGGTTAAGTGACCTAGCCAGCAAGCAAGGGCAGGTCTGATACAGGAAATAAACTATCTTGCCTCTCCACTAAATAATGCAATTGTGTCCCAAATGCATAGGGAGGACTGTCTCCTTTCAGCAGCCAGAAGTTCTTTGAAGAGATATTGACCCAATGGAATGACAACCCCCATCTAGCATGAAAAAGACAACAATAACACACAAACATAATCTTATTTCGGCACAGTAAAAACCCTCTAACGTAGGAAGCAGAAACTGGAGGTGGAATTACTTGCTGGACTTTCCTTTCACCTTTGTGGAGATGCCCAGTGCAGTAGGAAAGGAACGAGGCTCACTTTCATCCTCTTCGATGTAGTTCACTATGGGCCTGGAGCTGGTGAAAGTGTGTTTTCACTAAATTAGGTCTGTATGATAACAGTGAGGAAATTTATTTCCACACTACCACCAAGCTAGAAGCTTGCCCTAACCAAATCCACAACAGGAATGTTCTGATTCTCTTTAACTCCATCATTTGCTTATGACCTTTCATGGAGTTCTATGCTTAGAACTGCATGTCTAGCCCAATACTCTCCAATTGGAATATAATGCAAGCAATGAATGAGACGGACATATGTAATTTTTAAGACCCTAGTAAACACATTTTTAAAAAGTAAAAATAAGCAGGTAAGTTAATTTTCATAAGCCTATTTTACTTAGTGTATATAAAATATTATTTCAATATATAATTAATACAAAAACATTAATGAGATATTTTACATTTTCATACCAGTTGCAGAAATGGTACGCATTTTACAGTTACAGTACATCTCAGCTGGACTAATCACATTTCAAGAGCCCATTAGTCACATGTAGCAAGTGACTGTCATATTGGGCAGTGGGCATCTAGAGTGTGGGGACATAATGTCTGTGGGACTTGAGAGGAAGAGGAAGAAAAGATGAAATGTTCTATTTTTTTTTTTCTTTTGAAACAGGGTCTCACTCTGTCGCCCAGGCTGGAGTGCAGTGGTGCCATCTTGGCTCACTGCAACCTCCGCCTCCCAGGCTCAAGCGATTCTCCTATCTCAGCCTCCCAAGTAGCTGGGATTACTGGCGCACACCACTACCACCCAGCTAATTTTTTTGTTATTTTTTTTTTTAATAGAGACGGGGTTTCATCATGTTGGCCAAGCTGGTCTTGAACTCCTGACCTCAACTGATCCACCCGCCTTGGCCTCCCAAAGTGCTGGGACTACAGGCGTGAGCCACCATGCCCAGCCAAGACGAACTGTTGTTACACCCTAAAATTTCCCCACCCTACTATAAGATTATCTCTGCCAACTTTTTACATAAATAATCTTCAAATCACAGAGAATAATTTATCATCTCATTAGTAGTTCTTCCTTACCAAATTTTATTGCTTCTAAACTAAGTGTATGAAATACAAACCCAAAATTTTAAGTTTAAAATACAAATGCGTATAGATATATAGATTAATGTGTGTATGTATGCCTATATATATATATATATATATATATAAAGCTTAGTTTCATAAAATTTTGATTATTTACTTTTTGCTTTTGCTTGCCTAATCAGATAATTACCTTGGTTTTTATTCTAAATCTTCTGTAGAACAAGGTGGACTGTAAATAAATAATAACTTTATTTATATATCTCATTTTCCCCCTGTAGTCATAGCATTCATGTAAAAACTCTTATCTACCCAATAAAATATTTCATCAGAATGTGAATGCCTTGTTTTATCAGAGGGAATTTCTTTTAGCCAAAACACCTTGTGACCTTCTGTTATTGAACCATATATTAATCATATGAAAAGTTATAAAGAGAAAATTTGAATCAGTGGATAATGAATGTCTTTCTTTTTTTTTTATTTTTATTTTTATTTTTTCTTTTTTTTATCATACTTTAAGTTTTAGGGTACACACTAGACTCAGGCTCGCAGTCTCTCTCACTACCCGAGGCATGAGTGTGAGGGAGGCTGTTTGTATTCTATGCTAATGCTTTTTTTTCAATGCTCAATTCCCCTCCCCCCGCCTTTTTTTGTTTTAACTGTCTCACATTTCAACATTTCCATATAACCAGCTAATCTGATAAACCCATACTTGACATACGGAAAAAGTCAAGAAAAGCCTATTTGTGGGCTATCTTTGTCTTTCTAGGTTCTAAGTGTCAAACGATATTTAAGAGTGTTTGTTTGTTTGTTGTGGAGCCATTTTCGTTGCTTTTGTGATATAATAGAAAAATGGGAAGTGAGCTAAGCACCGTGGCTCACGCCTGTAATCCCAGCACTTTGTGAGACCTGAGTGGATAGATCATTTGAGCCCAGGAGTTCAATACCAACCTGGGCAACATGGTGAGACCCTGTCTCTACAAAACATACAAAAATTAGCTGGGCATGGTGGTGCGCACGTGTAGTTCCAGCACCGTGGGAGGCTGAGGTGTGAGAATCACCTAAGCCTGGGAAGTCAGGGGAAGTCAGTGCAGTAAGCCTTGCGCCACTGCACTCTGGCCTGGGAAACAGAGCAAGAGGCTGTCTCAAAAAAAAGGAAAAGAAAAAGAAAAAAGGGAAGTGCCTCTTTCTGGCTTCTGGCCTAGAGGCTGTGCTTCCATGACTGTGAGAATGGCCACCCTGCAGGCTGCAACCCTTTGTAAGAAATAAAGCTCTCCTTTCCAAATTTATAAACCTCATCACTCTTCAGTTGATGTGATTAAAAAAAAAGTTATGCTAAATGAAAACTTTACATTAAGAACAGAGAAAAGTTGCATTAAGATAGGCAATAAATGGAAGGATTTAGGACAGTCTTGTTTGAACACAGGGTGTGTGTATCTGTGTGTCTCTGCATGCATGTGTGTATGTGTGTTTGTGTATGTTTATGTCTAGTTTGTGTATGTGTGTTTGTGTATATGTCTTGTGTATATTATGTCTGCATGCATGTGTGTATGTGTGTTTGTATATGTTTGTGTATGATTATTTGGTTGTTTCACCAAATCTCTACCAGAATGTCAAATGTGACTTATTTTTACGTAGAATATATATAAACTCTGAATCATTATATTTAGCTTAGTTGCTAAGGCAAGTGTAATTTATTTCCTGCTTTTATCTTTTACTTATAAATATAAAATTAAATAAAGGAGAATGTTTTGTAATAATCCACAAATAACTCTCAATATTTTATAAAATAGTTACAAATACCATGGAAGTTGTTTATTGGAATGTGGCTTTACAGTCCCTCATAGAAGTAATTTTATAAGAGCATGATTGATAATAATGGTTACTATTCACTAAATTTCAACATATGTATGGCATATCATCTCTTTTTGTCATAACAGTACTGCAGGGAAATTATTATTATCTCCATTTTATGAATGAGAAAACTTAACATTACATGACTTTCTTTTTTTTTTTTTTCCTTTGAGACAGAATCTCACTCTATTGCCCAGGCTGGAGTGCAATGGCGCAATCTCGGCTCACCGCAACCTCCGCCTCCCAGGCTCAAGCAATTCTCTTGCCTTTGCCTCCCAAGTAGCTGGGATTACAGGTACCTGCCACCATGCCAGGTTAATTTTTGCTAAAAATACGTGACTTTCTTAACGTTGTATAACCAAACATTGACAGAGTCAGCATTTAAAAGGAAGTCTCTCAGGTTTAACAGGTGTTTATACACACATGCATGCAGACATAACATACATAAGACAAAACACAGGTGTGTGTTTTGTCCACCAAACCAGAGGCTTCCTTGGGGTTGCAGTTGTACCCATACAATCTGATTTATCTCCCTAATATCGTATTACTAAGTTATAATATTTATAAAATAATAAGCCCTAAAGCCAAGTGTATCGTATTTATTCGATATCAAACTCATTCTCAGTTCTAGCTACAGTGACAGGAACACATCTACCCTTGATGCAATTCTGGCTACACTTAAGTAACAGAGAAGAAAGGGGAAAAAGGAAGGGAAGAAAGGGGATAGCTGTGGCAGGGAAGAAAGCAAATGTGAAATTCCAGTAGAATCAAAAATGGTAAGAGCATCTTCAGCTATAGTGAGGAGGAACCAGGCCACCAGGGCTGCAGCTTTATACACTAAGGGGCCGTTCTTACTAAAGAGATCTTTGTAAGAAAATTGGCAATTAATGAGTCAGAAACCGCTTATGATTTCCTACTGTAGAAATGCACCAAATGACTTGCCACAAACTTGAACTCACAATACTTGTTCATTCAGATCACTTCTCTGATTCAATAAAAATTGTAATTCAACTTTACAAAGCATTAGCTATTCAGCCCATTTTGCTGCCAGCATAGAACCTTTTTCCTTAGGTCTCAGGAAGGCCAGGAACCATCTAGGTCAATAGTTATCAACCTGGTAAGCATTTCCAAGTTATATAGCCTTCCCTTCTTAGTGATACTTCACTTGGGGAAGAATACAAGAATGGATCACAGAGATTCCAGGTGGGAGAAACAGGCATTCTACCTAATGTTATAGGATCCTCAGATGACTAATATGCAAGATCTCTTATGCCATTCTCACCAGTTTCCCTGCTTGTTGAAAACACTAAGCTAGTCATCCCCTGCTGTGGCCAAAGACCTGAACCTAGACTGTCTAACATCTAACCCAGTAAACCTCTCTGTGCTTTCATTTCCTGGCTTGTAAAATATGGGTAATAGAATATATTCATAACATTATAGAGAGGTAACTAATTAACATAAACAAAGTACAGATGGCCTGACTTATGATGGTTTGACTTAGGATTTTTCAACTTGGTTATAGTGCAAAAGTGATATGCATTCAGTAAAACTGTACTTTGAATTTTGACCTTTTCCTAAACTACCAGTATGCAGTACAATACTGTCTTGCCATGCTGTGCAGCAGCAGTGAGCCACAGCTCCCAGCTATGTGATCTGAGTATATTTAAGGTAGGCGAGGCTCAGATATGATGTTCAGTATGTTAGGTCTATTACATGCACTTGCAACTTACAACATGTTGAACTTACATCAGGATGTAACACCATTGTAAGTTGAGAAGCATCTGTACTTCGAACGGCATCTGACACATAGAAAGTTTGTTGTTGTTGTTGTCATTATTATTTTATAGTGAGAAACTGAGGGCTGGATAGACCAAATGACTTATCTTACTTAACTAAGGGTTCAGAATAGAATGCAGATTACCTAAGTTGAAATCTAGTGCTTTTTCATGACACCAGTTGACTCTCAAACTGAAGTTAATACATGTGTTTCTCATTTTCTTAGCCTGTTTGTATCTACCCGAAGTTATGCATTTAAAAGGATCTTCACCAACATTACTGGGAGGCAGTAATTATTTAACTAATTTAAGAAATTTAAACCATTTTAGTTTGTACCTCATAATATTTTAGGATTTTTTCCCTCAACAGAACAATCGAGAACATTAAAAGAGAGCAAGCTCCACGTCACTCAACTGATGCTACCACCCAGGACAGAAATCAGCAGTTTCTGTTTTTCTACTGACCAGCTTTGCATTAAACACTGCAAATGGGAGAGCTAGTCCACTGAACTCATGCAAGCATTCATTTATTTATCCACAAAAAGCAAAATATGGCAAGGGGAATTTGGGAGGAGTGAAATAAGGGTTGTCAGACTAACAGTGACAAATGGGATGCAATTGTTCTCCAAAAGCTTGGAGCAGAGAAGTCTTCCCTTTTCCCCTCCCCTTAATCCCCACTGATTCCACCCTGCCTGCACACAGAGAAGGTGGTTAACAGAGGAAAGCCCCGTGAATAAGCTATGACAGCCCTACATTCAGAAACTGATGTCATTTCCCTAAATACTGTTTGTAAAATGGTAATTATCTGCCAAGCAATGACAGCTGGCACTTAGCATAGACACACAGAGAGACAGAAAAAGAGAGAATGAGAAAAAAGGGTCCCTGCATAATTTACCAAAGGGCTGAAAGAGAGAGGGAAACATAATCAGAAAAATAAAATGATTACCAGTGTGTGATGGGGTGAAAATTGCTTTGGGCATTTTTTTTTTCCTTTAGAGAGCACAGGATTGAATTGGAAGAATGAAGCTGGAGCTCCACGATGCACACTGGAAGAGAGGAGGTTGTGTTAAGGTGGCGGTAAAAGGAGAAATACACCAATGGTGCTGGGCTGTGGCAAAGCAGCAGGAAAACTCTGTGCACACCTAGCCCCTCAAACAGGAACCACTCAGCCCAGCAATACTTAATAATACACCCAAGATTGTTTCCTTTAGTTCATTTGGGTTCAAGATATAATATATTAAGTACCTCTTGCCCCCTTCCTTGTTATTTATGTGATGGTCGGTTTTATGTGTTAACTTGGCTAGGCTGTAGTGATCAACTATCCAATGACACATTACTCTAGGTGTTGCTGTAAAAGTATTTTGTAGGTATGCTTGATGTCTACAATCAGTTGGCTTTATGTAAAGGAGTTGATCCTGGATGATCTGGGTGAGCCTGTTCTAATCAGTTCAAAAGTCTTAAGAACAGAACTGATGTTTCCCTGAGGAAGAAAAAATCTCCCCTGTGGATTGTGGCATCAGCTCCTGCCCAAGTCTTTCCAAATTGTCCTTCTGATGGCCTACCCTGTGGATTTTGGACTTGCCTAGTTAGCCCTCACAATCACATTACGATCCCTTGCAACAAATCGAACTCTCCTGTCTCTCTTCACTCACACATGCGTGCATGCGCGCGCGCGCACACACACACACACACACACACACACACACACACACACCCCAACTTGTTCAATTTCTCTGGTGGTACCCTGACTGTTAAACTTGTCAAGTACCTGTGCAGTGATTTGCTCAGCTAAGTGAATATGTTATGGGTTGATTTGTCATAATCCCCTCAAAATCCGTAAGTTGAATCCTTAACCTCCAGTACCTCAGAATATAACCTTATTTGAAAGTAGTATCATTATAAATATAATTAATTAAGATAAAGTCATTAGAATGGGCTCAAATCCTACATGATTGGTGTCCTTATAAAAAGGGAAGGTTTGGAGACACAAACACACAAAAGGAGAATGCCATGTGAAGATGAAGGCAGAGATCACAGCGATGTTCTACAAGCCAAGGCACACACCAGAGATCGTTAGCAAACCACAGGAAGAAAAAGAGAGGCATAGAACAGATTCTCCCTCCCAGCCCTCAGAAGGAACCAAGCGTGCTGCCACCTTGATCTTGGGCATTGAGCCTCTAAAACTGTGGGAGAGTAAGTTTCTATTGTTTTAGCCACTCAGTCTGTGGTACTTTGTTACAGCAGCCCTAAAAAACGAATGCAGCACATTACCAGGAAAATCGAGACAGTTGAATTGGGGAAAGTTAAGAAACATACAAAGTTACAAAATTTTCTGAGTATTACAGAAAGCTCCATTTCCTTACTGCTTTTGAAATACAAACTTATTCCCTTTTATGCATAACGGTTTTACTGCCAATAGCTACCCAAGAAAAGACCTGGATGATTAAACTGACAATTACAGAGATGTACAAATGTTCCAGAAATTTTTCAAAGTAGTTCTTTTAAATTCCTGGAATCTGGTCTCTTTTTGGATAACAGATGTTGTAGAACCTTCTATAACTATTCATCTCTCTATTTGTGTCCTCCTGGAGTGTAGCTCTTCAGTTCTGTCTTACAGGAAAAGCTAACAATCACCACCTGGTGTCCCTTCCCCTCTTCTAGCAAGTGAAGCTAATAGATATTCTGTAAAAGGAAAAAACAACGGCCGAGCATGGTGGCGCATTCCTGTAGTCCCAGCTACTCGGGAGGCTGAGTCATGAGAATTGCTTGCACCTGGGAGGTAGAGGTTGCACTGAGCCTAGATCGCGCCAGCCTGGGCAACAGAACGAGACTCTGTCTTCATAGATAGATAGATAGATAGATAGATAGATAGATAGATAGATAGATAGATAGATAGATGGATGATAGATAGATAGATAGATAGATAGATAGATAGATAGATAGATATAAATGGAAAAGCAACAGTTGTGCCCAATCTTCCACAAATAACTTGCAACCAGGCAGAACATAGAACCCAGGTCTTTTGATGCCAGTCACATCCAGCTGTCCTTCCAAGACATTGTTTCTATGCAGGTGTTGAGTCAGCAGGCCAGATAATTCCTCCCAACGTTTATCTAAATACAGGTGTTTTTTCTAAAATGCAGGAATGTGAATTTGGATATAACATTCGTCTTTGTGAGGTGTAAGTTTCTTCTTTTAAAAAAAAATGCATCTTTATTTAGTCCTGACATTTCAAACCAACAGAATCAGCATCAGTATAGTGAAAGGTTAAAGTCCAGCTATTGTCAGTTTCTACATATGTCATATTGGCCAATTTACTTAACTTTATTATACTTCATTTCCTCATTTTTAAAATGAGAAATGGAGTGTTATCTCTTTCACTGGGTCATTACAGGGATGAAATGAAATAACATGTGGAAACATGTTATAAGCTCTAAAGTGGTGGAAAGAAGATAAAAATAAAGTAGTAATGTCACATCTGTGATCTTACGGTCTCCTTTCCTATCCCATATTGTAGAGGATAAGCCACACTGAATGTCCATTCAGTTTACATCAGACTTGTTTGGGAAAGTTACAGTTTGCGTGGGTATATCCAGATCATTATGTTTTTACAAGCTTCACAGTCTGACCTAGCATGAAAATTAAGTACATGAAAAGTATTTCAGAGTCTTGTAGTTAATGGACAAACTTAGATATCCCTAATAGGTGCTTCTAAGCACTTATCAAACTTTTTCTTACCTCTTACTCATCTGGTTCCTTCACTACACTGTAAACACTTACGAAGGCAAGGTTATATTTTCATCATCCCTATATTCACAGCATCAGTCTTTAAAATGTTTTGAAATTTATTTGTTTAATTGATAAGCAAAAATGTATGTATTTATAATGCATATGATGTTTTGAAATATGTATACTAAAGAATATTTGAATAAATATGGTCTTATTCAATTTTACTTTGGCCATAATCATTTTCAATAAAAAGTATAAAATTTTTTAAAAGTTGACGATGTATTACTTAATTGTAATACATAATGTATGTTTAAAACTAATCCATTACTAAAAATAATTGACTATTATAAGTAAAAATACCTTAAGCCGTTGAAAGTTTATTTACTATTGATCTATTAATTTACATAATTCTTCCATGTCTAGCAGAGCCCACTGATTATAAAGTAATTTACAGATATCAACTTTCTAGGCTGTGAAGGCTTCTGAAATTATAAGGAAGAGACAGTTGTGCCGAAATTGTGTGGTATAAAGCTGTCAAAATTTGAAATATAGTTATAGATTTCAGAATATAAATGGTTGTCATCAGAACAAGATTACAAGTTTCATGGGCTCTGAAAAACTTAGCTTATTTAACACTGAATCAATGACTTCACAACCAAACTGAGTTAAAACACTTCAGATTCTGAAAGAATGTGCTCATTCAACTTACAAAGCAGAATTTCAAAATATCCAGCGTGTTTGGCAGGAGGTGACACAACAGGCCATTTTGAGGAACATTTTGCTTAGCCCAGTTTTTCTCAGATTTAATATTTTTCATATTTTTGCCATTTTCACACACTGTCTCCACTAATATTTTCCTTTAAATACATTCTTTTTAACATATTTACCATAATTGTAAAATTATATTACTGTTATATATAAAAGATAAGCATCACTTATTACAAATAAATAGGACAAAAACTGCAAAAACAAAATAATGGTATCATTGTCTGTTTGGATTCAGTTGAAAGCTCTGAGCCTTAGTCCTACACTGCAACTGTTTTTTTTTCTTTTTAAAGAGAAATTTACCAAGTGTTTATAAATGTGTTAAAGCCTTATTAGCACCAAACTTAGACTCCTCTTGGTATAATCAGATGGTTGAAGAGATGTGAAAAGAGAATAACTTTCTCACCACGTGATTCAGTGCTATGTGATACCATGCTGTGTCATGTCCTATCTCCAATTATTTCACGTAGCACTTGAAGCAAAACTGGAGTTGCATATTAAGTGTTTGGAATTTTATAAGTTCAAGTACATGTGCACTTACAATATTTACTTGTTATGTGGAATGTATAGGATTTAAACTGAAAAGACAAACATGCAGATTTTTTACACCTAAAGACAAAAGCAGGTTGATAACTAGTATGGATGACTTTAGAAGAAGAAAGTCATATCAGAGCAGAAAGAATCTTAGAGGCCATCTGTTCTAAAGGTGGGCAAACTGAGACACAAAAGTGTTTTCTTTTTTTTGAGATACAGTTTCGCTCTGTCGCCCAGGCTGGAGTGCAGTGGCACAATCTCGGCTCACTGCAACCTCCGCCTCCTGGGTTCAAGTGATTCTCCTGCCTCAGCCTCCCAAGTAGCTGGGACTATAGGCATGTGCCACCACGCCTTTGTTGTATTTTTAGTAGAGATGGGGTTTCACTGGGTTAGCCAGGTTGGTCTTGATCTCCTGACCTCATGATCCACCTGCCTCAGCCTCCCAAAGTGCTGGGATTACAGGCATGAGCCAACGTACCCGGTCCCCAAAATGTTTTTTTATTGATGGTCATAGAACTAAGAAGTGCCCCAAGCAGAAATGGAACCCAATTGTTCTTGATGGTCCAGTTCACTTCACCAAGATGATCCTGTTCCATCTGTTCATGGTGGAAGCAGTTAATTTCATATGATTTTATACTCTTATTATTTATATGAGAGTAGGAGGTTTTTTAAAAGATAAGTCCTACTGAGGAAAGAAAATTTCAAATGAACCATTGATAATGGTTTGGCTGTGTGCCCACCCAGATCTCATCTTGAATTGTAGTTCCCATAATCCCTATGTTTCATAGGAGGGACCAAATGGGAGGTAATTGAATCATGGGGGTGGTTCCCCTCATGTGGTTCTCATGATAGTGAGTGAGTTCTCACAAGATCTGATGGTTTTATGAGGGGCTTTTCCCCCTTTACTCAGCTCTTCTCCTTCCAGCTGCCCTGTGGAGAAGGTGCCTCTCTTCCCCTTTACCTTCCTCCATGATTTTAAGTTTCCTGAGGCCTTCCTAGCCATGAGGAACTGCAAGTCAATTAAACCTCTTTTCTTTGTAAATTACCCAGTCTTGGGTATTTTTTCAAAGCAGCATGAGAATGGAATAATACACCTGTGAACTTTAAACACATTTTATTGTAACTTATTGTAACAGATCTTAGTAATTGTTTAAGAAGACAATGCTAGTTGATTACCCTAGACAAGAGAAAGATATAGGTCCCTCATTATTGTCTTTAAGGATTCTCCTGTGCTTCCTGAAAACTTGGACACAAGTAAGTAATAACTTTTTGGCCATCTTTGGAAGGATTTCTTTTTGTTTTGTTTTGTTTTGCTTTTTTAGAGATGGTGTCTCACTCTGTTGCCTAGCCTGGAGTACCGTGTTGCGATCGCAGCTCACTGCAGCCTTGACCTCCCAGGCTCAAGTGATCCACCCACCTCAGCCTCCTGGGTGGCTTGGGACTACAGGTGCACACCATCATGCCCAGCTAATTTTTAAAAAAAAAATTTGTAGAAACACGGTCTCCCTATGTTGCTCAGGCTGGTCTTGAACTCCTGACCTCAAGGGATCCTTTTGCCTCAGCCTCCCAAAGTGATAGGATTACAGGCATGAGCCACTGTGCCCAGCCAGAAGGATATCTTTTTAAAAGCATTGTGTATCATCTGACTTTTTGTACAAATATATTCTCCAGCCTTTTTTTTGGTGAGAGGGATGTTGCTACTTGATTCTATTTTTTCATTAGGTACATACCTTTGATGGGATATTTGTTCTCATTTGAATTGCTTTATTCTGTAACTGTTTGGCTTCCATGCTTTTATTTTTTAAAAAAGCAGTCTCACTTTTTGTTTTTCTTATTCCTTCTCCTCTTATTCTTCTTTGTCTTCTTCATCACCACCACCAGAGATCATTGCCTTAATGACGTTTACTAGGGCTTTTCATTTCCTTCCCAGTCTCTAAGGTATTTTTTTGGCAATGGGTGAAAAGTCCTGACATTCTGATTGCTATTCGTATTAGTCCGTTCTCACACTGCTATAAAGATATTACCCAAGCCTGGGTAATTTATAAACGAAAGAGGTTTAATTAACTCACAGTTCCACATGGCTGGGGAGGCCTCAGTAAACTTACAATCATGGCAGAACGCAAAGGGGAAGCAAGCTTGGACCTTCTCACGTGGCTGCTGCAGGAGAGAGAAGAATGAGGAGCGAAGGGGTTCTTACCTTATAAAACAATCAGATCTCCTGAGAGCTCACTATCACAAGAACAGCACGGGGGAAACCACCCCCATGATCCAATCGCCTCCCACCAGGTCGCTCCCTAGACACTTGGGGATTATGGGGATTACAGTTCAAGATGAGATTTAGGTGGGGACACAGCCAAACCATTTCAGGACTTAACAGTTCTATGTTATTGACACCTGCCCAGCACTGTGACCACTCATGCCTCATGCACTGAGGAGAGAACTGAGGACTTTCAAGGTCTCTTATAGACAAATAGAGTTGTAACTGCTTGTAAAGCACTTTGCTAATACAGAGTGTGAAGAAATGATAAATACGAATGATTATTATTGACAGTGGTGATTGGCCATCATCATCTCTTCATTTCTGGCTATTTCTCATGCAAACGCTATTTTAGCTTAAATTTTTCAACCTTGAATCCAATGAATCTAATCAGAATGAAGGAAACAGACCTATTTCTAGCAATGTTAAACAAATGATGACTTTTGTGTTCAATTAGTTGGTTTATAGAGACTCATCCATTTTTAATAAATTGATTTTGTTTATTTTTTCTATTTTATTTTACATTTGAATGAAGTGGGTTTACTATATGACTACAAATGCATTTGTGTTCTCTCCTACTCAAGCTAGCCTCAATCCTAGAAAGTATAGTCCTAGTTCTGCTGCAAACTATGATGTATAAAAAGAGTATAAAATATTAAATATTATACTTTTTAGCCAAGTTACCAATTCTATCATTCTTATAGCAGCATAGTTTATACACAATAATAAATTTTTAAAAAAAGGATATAAGGCATTGAACTGTCTTCATGCCAGATGAGAGATAATGGTTTAAGTATGAAAAAAACAGTTGAATCACTTTCACTATGTTGCTATGTGATTTGAGAGAATTTCTCAGCAACTCTTTTTCCTCTGTTTCTTCATTTCTAAAATGCAGAGAATACTTAAGCCAACTTTTTTGTATGTATGTGGAATACATGTAAAAAATACTTGTACATGCAAATATAAGCTAATATTCCTATTACTGTTATTGTTGGGTGTGAAAATCACCACTATACAATGCCCTGAATTACATGTTGTATATTCCATCAAATGCTTACCGCAATCCAGGGCTAAGAAAATGCACAATTATCTATACAGAGTGACTAGAGTTTAAGACTCCAATAAGCCCTTATCATGTTCAAACAAAAGTACTGATTTAACATTCCAGGCTTTGATGTCAGAAGTAAATTACAGAGTAGAATCATGCTTTTTTGGTATAAGTAATGGTATATTTCAGTCACAAAAATAGTATTTACTCTTTCACATTGAATGAGGAATATGATATCACAGAGGATCAATAAAAATACTTTTTATACTTTATAAGAAGATAAAAATTCTAACATAAATGACCACCTCAAGGCTTAGAGGAATTTAGGCTGGATCTAAAACCAAACTAAACTCTTAGCGTATAAAAATTCCAGTAAAATCCATGATTATGTTTTATAAGATTAATACTAAATTTCACACTTTAAAAAGTCATAGTCAAAAGAAATATTATTCAATTATTTACTAAGTGCTAGTTAAATTTCTGCTATACACTTTTATTTGGAACTTACGTAAGTCATATGTATGACATTTTATTTATTTAACAAATACTCATTATTTACCACATTTTAGTTCTCAGATGCTATATATGAGTAAAACATGCTTATATTTACCGCTACCCATATCATACCACCTCTTAGGCCAAGAATTATCTGAACATCTTGCTGGTCTTGTTTTTTGCTTGTTTATACTGCAGATTTCTATTTAGACTGAATAATATAAGAATAAGAAGTGTTTATGTATGAACTGGAAAATGATAAGAAAACAAACAGATAAAGTTATTTGCAAATATATTTTTTCCTTTTAAGTTTTATAAACCTTTCTAAGTAATAAGGACCAGAAGCTTCCACAGCATCAGTTCATTATTAGCACTGATATGAAATGGTTTTATAACCTTCAGCAGAATTTAAGGGTTTCTGGTAAGAATTTCTTCTTACTGCAGAACAAATTGCATCTCTTATGGTTACTGTACATTTGCAATTGATGAGCCATCAGAAAAAATCTTGGAAAAGTGATGCAACCGGTAACTTGTATTATTTTTTTTTTAAATGGAGTGTTTGAATTATTTATTGAATCTAGGTCATGTGAGTCACTTCCACTTCACAAATAAGTTGAAAACCCTACAGTGAAGAAATAGGTACTTAATTAGTGGGTGAAGGATTTTTGAAATAAGATGAGACATCGAGTTTGTTTCTTACTCTTAATTTGAGCCAATTGTATTAGAGAAAGACTAATGAAATCAAAAATGACAAAGCCCAATGTCAAAAAAAAAGTAAAGAAAGCCTTAATAGCCAATTAATACTAGTTCAGGCATACCACACAGAACAGAGACCAAGGGCTTGGGTGTGAGGATAAGAATTTCAGAGATTCATTCAGTCCTCTAGACATATATTTTATGTTTCCATCAATAGCCAGGTACTATGCAAGACACTTAGAATGTAATGGTGCAACTGAAAGACATACGCCTCGTTCTTACAGAGTTTACAAACTGGTTGAAGAGGCAGATGATAAAGAGATAAACCAATCAATAAATATTTAACTTAATTAAAAAGAGTACTATGAAGGGAGGCTCTTTTTTTTTTTTTTTTTGAGATGGAGTCTCGCTCTGTCACCCAGGCTGGAGTCCAGTGGCGCGATCTCGGCTCACTGCAAGCTCCGCCTCCCGGGTTCACGCCATTCTCCTGCCTCAGCCTCCCGAGTAGCTGGGATTACAGGCGCCCGCCACCACGCCCTGCTAATTTTTTGTATTTTTTGTAGAGACGGGGTTTCGCCGTGTTAGCCAGGATGGTCTCGATTTCCTGACCTCGTGATCCACCCGCCTCGGCCTCCCAGAGTGCTGGGATTACAGGCGTGAGCCACCGCGCCCAGCCGGGAGACATGTTTACGCTGTGCTAGAGATTAAGATAAAAAACATACTTGAAGGTTAAAAGAAAAAGAAGGATACCTTCAGAAAGTAATGTCTAATCTGAGTCTTAAATGATAAAAAGGAGATAGCATGCAAAGGCCAGCAGAAAGCATTCCAGATGAAAATTAAAAAGCGCATGGTCTCTGGGAAGAGCTTGGTGTGTTTGAGGAATTGAAGTTTAGGCAACATATGCTGACCTTTGGCAGCAACGAGGGGAGTGGTTTTCAATACATTTGAATGTATAGGATCCAAATGATAAAGGAATTTTAGGCTACAGTAAGGAATTTCGAATTGTTTACAGAGAAATGTGGAATAATTAGGGCTACAGAAGGATAGATTAATAACTCTGGATGTTTTGCTAAGGACTCAATACAGTTGGGTGAAGTGGAAGTAGAACGACCAGCAAATAGGCTATTGCCATTTGTCCAGGCAGAAAGGGATCTATTTTTCCATCTGGTTTTAATTATTCCCCTTCCCTGTCTCCCCTCCTGCTTCTCCTATCTCCCCTAAAGATGCTTTTCCTGTTTTAAAGACATAACCCCAGCTCTCCAATAACTTAACTGACTTCTAGGTGTTTCAATCTACCCTTCGAGGTGAGTAGGACTGACCCCATACTATGTTATCAGACTGTTCAGGGTCAGGATACCTTTCTTAGCAGTCACAGTGAGTAGGAAATGCTCCTTGTAAACACAGGAAACAGAGCCACTGAGGCAGTCAGCTAACATCTGCTAGAAAATGAGATTTGAGTTACAAGATAAAGTTCAAACACCAATTTTACCTAACAGCGATGTTGGTACTAAAATCTTATAAAGCTTACAATCTGAAATGCACCTGTCCCACTGATACTCTTTGTGATGTTCATTAAAAAAACTAGGTGGAATATTGAAGTTAATATCTTTAAGTGAATGTGTATAAACATTGTGATAGAAAAAAATAAAAATTTATAAATAACTTCTAAATTTTGTGTCTAAGCATCCCCTGTGCCACCTGTATACATAACTCCCTGTTTTCCTGTTGACCATTGTTTAATAACCTGCTCTCTGGATAGTTTTAGGTTTTTACAGTTTCACATATGGTCCCATCTGCTGGCAATTCAACTCCTATTCAACCAAGAAGCAATCGAACTAAGACCTGAAAGGAAGAATACAGCTGGAGGCCTTGAATGCAGCTCCACTGGGACTGAATTTATATAGGGTACAGAGGGCTACTACTGAGTTTGTGCAGAGAAGTGCCATTTAAGATACTGTTAAAGGAAGGCAAACAGAGGGAAGATTTGTTTATTAAATGCCTACTCTATACCAGGAACTCTACATAAATAGTCTCATTTATTCTTATTAGTTCTGGTATTATCCTCCTTTTATGAAAAAAGGTAACTGAATCTCAGCTTGCTTGTCTAAGTTGACATAATAAATGGCTGTGCTTATTTAGTTCTATGGCAGTCATAAATAGAATCAAGATTAATATAAAAGGATTGATTGTCTTGCCTTTAAAAGTCCGTCGTCTGCCCCTAATGAATACTTTACCTACTTTAGTTTACTGAACCTGCCAAACCGGGAAGTTATAAAATACAAGCAAGCCTTGTCATACAGTTTTTGAGTCAGAAAATATATTCATGTCACCTAGTATCATTATAGCTTTCTATCACTTATGATGGCAAAAATAAGTATATCTGATTCTAATAAGAATATGAAGAATCAAAAAAATGGAAAAATATTGAAGGGAAAAAGACGTAATTCTACCAGAAAAATCACGACAAAACATCTAACAAAATAACATATTTAAATAATAAAGAACCCCTTTTTTAAAAAGCAGATTGATGATGATTATATCTATAATTATGTCAGGGGAGGCATAAAATAGGCATATTTGTAGAGCTGTGATTAGTATAAACAGGGCTGGGTATGAGCTGAGTCATCTCCTTGCCACTGTATTAAAACTACAAAATAATAATTCCAAGTTTAATACTTTAAAATGATTTATTAACTAGGTTTCATAATCACCAAAGGTAACTTATTTCCATGTTAAACTACTCTTTATTCAGAAAGTTGTCTTTAATATTTAAACTAAGTTGTAACTATTGTAGTTCAAGCCCAATCCACTCAGCTCCAAGTGTCTAGTGGGAATCACAGTTCCCTTCTCTCATTTGTAGTATCTCTTTCCTAGGTGTAAATAGTTACTCTGCTTCTCTGTTATCTTTCCTTCTGTCTGAGCATGCCTGGTTCCCTTAATGTTTCCTTATAGATCTCATTTTCCAGGGCTTTTATCATTTTTGTTGCTCTCTTCTGAACTGATTTAAACTTATCTATGATTCTTTTTCAACTGAGGAACAAACACTAAACACAGTTATCCAATTGAGGCCTAAAGTGTGCTTGTAGAACAAAATAATTACCTCTCATTTTATCCACGTTCTCCCTATTAATATACCCCAAAGCAGTGTCTGGGATTTTATATGACACCATTGTATTGTTGACTTATTGTCAATTTATCTTTCATTATAGCTTATATCTCCATCCCCGTGGAACAATTGTTTGTGCGGTTTATATTTGTTTTTATTGAATCCTATTTTATTGATTTCAGCCCCACATTCTATTTATCAAGATGGTTGTTTGTAATACTAACCTCTAATTTGCCTCCAACAGTACATGATCCCCAAGTTCTTAACTGTGTAAATGATTAGCATACTTTCTGTTTTATCTCACCAAATCTCTGAGTACACAGCTGAATGTGGGGTTTGTTTTTGTTTCGTTTTGTTTTTTTGACTAACAAAAAAAGTTGTGATAGAATTTAAAATATTTCCCCTTACTGCTTATAGTGCTAACCTCAAAAGCTATGATTTTGGGTGCCCATGATATTGCTGAGACTGTTTGCCATCATATTAATCCTTTAACAATATTCCTGAGGTCTGATTAACCCAATCTTACAGAGAAAAAGACTCTAAGGGCCATAGATGTCCAGTAACTTTCTCAGCACGTAACTAGGAAGGAGAGGAGCTGGAACTTGAACTTGGTCTGTTTGGTCTTACCACCAAGTACTTTCCAGTACACCTGTAAATAATTCAATTCAATTCACAACTAACAGCTTGTTATATTAATAAGTTTCTCACCCATTCTGCTATTACTGGACAGGATTTTATGAAAACCATGACAGTGTTTTCACTCCAGGGAGTCTTCTTTTAGAAAGATGTTGTGGGTGCTATGAATGATGAGGCCATTGTTCCTGGGCACAGAGATGATTCCAGTGACAAAATTACTGTTTACTATGTGAAAGCCATGGTATCTGAAAGCCTAACAAATAGAGTTGATCATAGGTTGTTCCCGCTCCTTTTGCTATATTAAAAAACCATTCCAACTAAGGCAATATGATAATTAACTTGACTTCTATTTGTTTCTTTGTATCAAAGTGATTGAATCCAAACACTATCCATCCAAATCACTGGCCTAAGTCAATGGTTGCTAAATGAGGTGCTAAGACTCTGCTGAGTATTTTAAAAGTTCCTAAAGGATGCTGTAGATTTTAGTATACTAGAATGTAAAAAGTACAATGCATGTTTAATTAAGACTTTATGAGCTGACTGTGTGACTTGCCCACATCAGCAACTTAGCCCTGATCTCTTGAAATCCAAAGTGCATATATACTCACTTAGCTGGTGATTGCTGAATTCAGCTGCTTCATGGATTGCATACAGCAGGTCTGTTTTGCAAAATGGGCTTGTTCATAAGGTTAATATTTGCATTAGTCCATTTTCACGCTGCTGATAAAGACATACCTGAGACTGGGAAATTTATAAAGAAAAAGAGGTTTAATGGACTCACAGTTCCACTTGGCTGGGGAGGCCTCACAATCATGGCAGAAGGTGAAAGGCACATCTTACATAGTGGCAGGCAAGAGAGAATGACAGCCAAGCAAAACAGGAAATCCCTTTTCAAGCCATCAGATCTGGTGAGACTTATTGTCTACCAGGAGAACAGTATGGGGGAAACCACCCCCATGATTCAATTATCTCCCATGGGGTCCCTCCCACAACACGTGGGAATTATGGGAGCTACATACAATTCAAGATGAGATTTGGGTGGAGAAACAGCCAAACCATATCAATATTAATATGCCTATTTCTTAATGTAAAACAAATTGTAAGGGACAAGAACAAATAATGGATGATGCTAATAACATCTTATTAAAATTGGAGAGTTTAGGTAATTTAAAATAATTATCAAGAATACATGGGTTTGCTGTTCTAGGATAGTTGCCTAGTAATGAGTTTCCCTTAGTATCTGCAAGTATTTTATCCTTTCCTTAAATGCATTAAAATGTGTCAAACAGTTTGGTTTTCAATAGACAGAGGAGAAAATTATCTACTAAATTTAACTACTTTCTGGCAGATCAATTAAGAAGATATTAAGTTCTGAGTTCAGATTTTGTTAAAAGTGTGCATTAGTTGATGGTGAAATATAAAGACACTGAGTTCAAGATCACTAACAAGGAGCTTGAGAAGTAGAAGAAGGCTGAAGAGTATAATCATATATCATGCAGATGTTGGCTAGCTTAGGGGTACTGTCCAGGAAGAGGAATTCTCTGCTGGTACTGGAGCCTCATCCCTTGATTGCCTAGGTGCAAGGTTTGGGCATATACATCCTTCGTGTCTGAGAAGATGTTACTCCTCAAAGACTTGGGAGTAGTTTACACATAAATGAGAGGATTAAAAAAGGCACAATAGAGGGGAAATAATTTTCCTCTTATTTATTTTCTGAATACCTCCCTACCTATTTCCTTCTTGTTATATGAGGTTTATTCTCTTCAGTAATAAACAATTTAAAAAAAAACACTCAAAGCAGATATTGTAAATTCACAGTATTAATGTTTTTAATTTATATTAAAACATACAAAAATAGGTTTCTAATAGGTAGACTAATATTCTTTCTGGCTTAAAAATTGTTCCTCATTTAATAATGTTTGATCACACTGAGATTATACTTTATTTTTCTGTTTGCATCATCTCTTTCTTAGTTTTATCTTTCCTTCATACCTTTCTCTTACATCAGATTTTTCATCTTAGTCTTTCAGGAATTTGTTTGTTTATTTGCAGTTTGTACAAGAGAACACATTAGAAAACGTAGGGCTCAGAACCCACTACCCGAAAGTATGATACTTTGGCATGCTGAGTATTTTAAACTGAAGGAGACTGGAAGACCTCAGAAGTGAGGTCTTTCTGATCTTCTCCAATCATGTCTCCTACCTCTCTCTCTCCCTGGAAGTGAAACATAGAAATCAGTATTTCTTTTCTCCAAGGCTGGTTACAGAAGCTAGAACTCATCTTCCCCAAAGCATGGCATAAAACCTAGAAAGGTAACTCTCTCCCTTTTCCCTTGAAGACCCTCATTGCAGGTGGTCAGTGCCTCATACCCAGAAGGAAGAAGTGCTACAGAGAGGCCAGAAAGAATCTGATCAGACGGGCCTAGCTGGGTTCACCCTCTTAGTTTATTACCATTAGATATACCCTTTTATCTAATCACATTTCTACATAGCTGTCCATTCTTCATAGAATCTAAGCATAAATGTGGACAGTTTTCCCTGGAATTTGGGTCTTCATTTCTAAAGGCTCTAGTGAGACATAAAATTTTGATTAATAAATTTGTTGTGCTTTTTTGTTGTTAAACTGTGTTTGGTTTATGAGAGTGTTGGATGAGGAACATTCACCCACTTACGATGGGTGAGAAAAAGTATCACACGTTTCTGCCCCTGCAGGACCAAAGTTGTTACAAATATATTTTTAAATCTTAAAAACGGAATAGATTAATCCAGGAAATATCTATTGCTAATGCCAAAAATGGTTCCTTTGGCACCGTGCATGTAATTGTGTGCCAGAACCTGATGAAAGAGAAGTGATTGTTAAGAGAAGGAAGAAGGACTAATCAGAATTGAGTTAAATACTGGGAAAGATAGAAGTCAAGAGATGCTCGTCTAATAAAATGAGCAAAGCAGTTGCATCCAGGTAGCCCCAGTTAGAGTTATATTTTCATGAGAAGTTAGAAGAGTCAGACTAAGGATACAGTTAGACTTGCCCACATTTAAGGTCTGTTTGGTTAATGAGTTAGATTTGTTGACTCCTCCCTTTTCAATTGTTTTCAAAAGAAAGTGGTTAAAAATATATAGTCTGCAAAAATGAAGTATTTGTTCCAACTGAAAAAAACTAAAGCAAATAATTCAGCTTTTTGTTCTATGTATCCACATGCACACAAACACACACATATTAAACACACAAAAAGTGAGAAATTTAGTTTTCAGAATTGCAGAAATGCCTAATAGGAATAACATTCTAAGGACCAGGAAGGCGCAGGATCTATTAAGTTAAAAACACTAACAATAAAAAAATATATAAAAAGGAAACAAAAACTAAAACACCTCAGCTACTTCATTTTGAGTCTTATGGAGGAAAACAACAAACAAAATTAATATTTAAAGTTAAAATTAAAATTTCCAAAATACATTCTTTGGGATGTTTTCAGCAAACAATGTAAAAAAATAAGCTTATTTCCAAATACAAACTTATTTATCATCTAATTCTATTCAATGGCAAATTGGTGTTACTGTTTTATTCGGTTTCACTGAGATTTTCAAGCGTGTTTAGAATTGAAAAGTGTTTTCTGTCTCTTAAGTGTGATGACAAAACATTAACTGATCATTTTTATTCTGTTGACAAGACAATCTACTTCATGGATTTATAAATTGCTCCAAGGCAAAGATAATCATGTAATTTTCTTATCACAGCCAATGTTAATAATTTATTATTAACATTATTTTTAATTTGAATACAAGTGGAAGGCATCCCAAAGAAGGGAATATTGTATAATATTCAGAAAAAAATCTTAACTTCATAAAAAGTGAAAAGTCACTATTCTGTCTTTGGATTTTTTTTTTTTTTTTTTTGAGCTAAAGAAAGATTCAACAGAGCATTTGCTAGCTCATATTCAGTTCCTTTGCTTTCCATTTCAATTAAAGATTTATTTTCTATTTGTCAAGTTTTAAGAAAAATTAACTGGCAGTATGTTGATGAAATGTGTTTCACTAATCATCTACTCTCAGAAACAGTGGAAAATTTTCTTTAATAGGTGATTTATTTTGGTGATACCAACTTTATTCTAATTTTGAAGCTAACTGGACACTCCACTTATGTATTGACATGTTTAACTAATTACATCAAATCACGCTATGCAAGAAAATTAATACACATTCCATTAGTAGGAATGAATACTTACTTAAAGATCAGGCCTGGCCACCTTACAACTCCAAAAGTTTGGGAAGTACACAAGATAAAATTGATATCTTTTTTTTAAAGAAAGGAATGTCAACAGATAAAAACAGATCAAGTAGGTACCAGAATATCATCAAAATGTCACTTAGCAAAAATCTAGTTTCATTGGGAATATTCAATATTGTACAAATCTTCAAATAAAAGATAATTGCTAATCATACAGTGACTTATGAAAACATTTGTTACAGGATTCAATCTAAACAGATTTTATTATATCTATATCTGACAGATATAGTAATGTTAATAAGAGCCAACTGTTGGAAATTGTACTGGATATTACAATATTGTTACACAGAAATGGTTATTGAACAATATTCGTTAAAATGGGAGTTTATACTAGTTGCAATTAACTCCCACCATTGGAAATGCATATTTATTTTAAAATATCCCAAAAATACACACACAAAAACCTTAATGCATACATAAATAAATCTTACTTCTTAGATATTTGAATCATTTTAATTAGCCTTACTTTTGAGAATATTTCATTTTGAGGCCAGAGAATTGAAGTTTGTCCTTAACATTAATCTAACTGCTACTTAAGTGATTCTCATTTAGACTGTAGCTCTTTCAATACAAAGGCCTAACTCCTTTTAAAGTTCTTTCCTAGATCTCCTTCCCTGAATAACATAAATAATGTTGAGTATTTGTTGAATTGTATCTAACAAATATCTGGAATCACACCATCTTCCATTTATAATGAGAAGTTAGGTCTGTCAGATAAAAAACATAATTTTATGCTAAAACAGCAACAAAATAATGTATTTTGACATTTATTTCAGCATATACCAGCTGTGTTTTTTTGAGACACATACAAATGTCCTCCAAAATCGCCATTTATAAATCCAGGTTTTTAAACGAAAATATTTTTTCTTATGAAAGGCATTTGTAAATCTCAAGGAAAGATAAAATGTACTCTAGTCTTTGACAACTTGGTTTGTTGTTATTGGTAGCCTATGGTTAGTTTGTACTTACTAGAGTCCCTTAACGTTGGATATCAGGAACGGATACTCTTATTCAGGAGGAATTGTCTGGTACAAATGGCCAACTGTGTATCTTTAGCTGTCAACACAAAACACTGGCAAAGCATGTGATATAGCAAAGCATGAATATCCCAGTAGATATGGTTATTTATGTTTCTAGAAATAACCAAAACCAGACAATGAGCGCCTGCATTTGTAGACCTAAATGGGAATTTGCTTCCTTATCAGGCGTAGTGATAAAAAAGTCCTGTTGTTTTGTGGGTGTCTTGAATACTGCCTGAGACTGGAATTTGATAGTGGGCACATTACACCTCTATAATCATTTCCGACATCCAGCTATGCCTCTCTGTGAAATAAACCACAAAAATTGGGCACTTTTCTGAAGACAATAATAGTAGCTGAGTTTTCTACAAAATCAGAACATATTTAGTTTTTTCAGTAAAAAGCATAACAGATATAAGGCTTGCTTTGAAAATAAAGCGTTCCACCAGTAGAAGAAATAGATAGCTATCTTGTGCACCCAAAATAGAATTCTGTACACCTTCCTTGGAACATAGATGAGACTACTTTAAAGATGATGGCCCAGTGGAACTTAGCAGTTGATAGGCTAGGACCAACTGCTGAGTTGGTTTAACTGGCACAAACATTGGCATAGAAAGAGCACACTACTATGTATTAAATCAATAAAGCAAGGTAGCAAAGAAATCAGGTCCATCCATAAATGTTCACTCTTTGTAGAATAGTGTCATATAAGTTCCTCGGTGGACTTGAGGTGTTTGAGGTCTGGGAAGCATCCCTAATCCTTCTCCTGCAATCTCCACCCTCCATGCAGCACCAAATCACAGGTGACCCTGGAGTCTGGCAACTTCTCTCCATATGACCTGCCAATATCTTAGTCGAAGATACTGTCATCTCTTGCCTACGATAGTCTTCTTTTTGGTCTCCTTTTGTCTACTGGGCTCAATCTAATTCATCTTGTCCACTAAATCAGAAGATATTTTAAATCACAAACGAAATGATTACTCCTTCATCCTACCACCACCACACCCTTAAATCATTCAATGGCTTTCCATTAGTCTTATGATAAAGACTAAAATCTTTGGAGGAGCCTTGGTGGTACTTTATAGTCTGACTCTGCCTCTCTCTTCATTCTTATCTTAACCCACATACCCTCTGGCTCTCAGGATGGCAGGAATGCCAGGCATCTTTCTGTGACAGAAATGTCCCACATTGTCCATGCTGTTTCCCCTGCTTAGAATGCTTCCTGCCCACCTCCTTTCCCTAGCGAAGTCCTGTTCATTAGCATTTGATCATTCATTTCCTTAGGGAAATCTTTCCCAACCTCCATATTATGTACCGTGCTATGAATTCTTACAGTACTACATTGCCCTCTTTTTGAAAGCATGTAACTCCATTTGAAATAATGAATTCATTAGTGTGATTATTTAATTAATGTCTGCTTTCCTCTTGGACTACACTTTTCATGATAGAAGGAATGTGGCTATTTTTGCCCAGTACTCTGTCCTTGGGACAAGGCAGAAAGTCTGTCACCTAGCACTAGCTCCAGAAATACAGTTGTTGGATGAATGGAAGAATTAACGAATGAGACTCTGGGTCTCTTTCACAGAAGTGAGGATGAACAGTGAGCAAACTATACACAGATTTTTGCCTATCTTTTTAGCCTGTATCAGTGTTTTAAGTAGTTTGCTGGGGTTACCTATTTAATTTGAATACATTAATATTTATGAGGTAAATATAATAAGTATCTCTATTAATCTAAACTGAGTATACCGAACTCTTGATTTTTTTCCTCTCACTATTACCTTTTAGAAGGTCAGCTGGTCTAACCAACTAAGCTCATTTACTATAGCCGATATCTACTATCTTGAGAAAGATGTGGATATTTCTAATGCACATCCAATCACTTGCTGGTGGTATAATGATTTTTGTGTTTATATATCTCTCCTAATTCCAAAATGCCTGTATATTTATTGTGTCATTATCTGAAAATATCCAGTGTGGTAGATGTGTATGGGTATTATCCCCATTTTACTGCTGGAGAAAAGGTAAAACATTTTGGAGGGCAGCTTGTCATATGATACACTGTTTGTTTTTGTGGGGTTTTTGTTTGTTTCTCCCTACCATGCAATCCAACAATGAACTCACAAAGGTTGCTGTACAACAGAACATTTGCCTAGGATATCATCACCTAGCTTTATAGGAATGTGAAGAAGTTGAAGAATTAAGGTAATAGGAAGCAGAACTATCTGCGCTTTTTGGTAGCTTAGGAAAGTAACCAAGGAGCTGACTTACTGTTAAATGAAAGAAAGCCAAGCTGTAGCAATGTGAGTCAAAGTTCTGAGCTAGGGGATCCCAGGAAATAGAGGCCAGTATTGGGAAAATATAGTAAGGGCACATCAATTGTTGATTCTAAGTGTTTAAAATTCATTCTGCCATATTACTAAGCTCTTTTTTCTTTCAAGGAAGAGTCTTATCAGTAGAAATATTAGCCATGCCTTCATAGTCCTTATATCTTACTAATGTGCATCTATTTGCTATCTACTGTTGACAAAAAATGCCAAACCTGGTAAAACATTTAAACAAGTTTATTCTGAGCCTCATATTTGAGTGACCATGGCTCATGACACAGCCTAGGGAGGTCCTGAGAACATGTGCCCAGGTGGTTGGGTTACAGCTTGGTTTTACACATTTTAGAGAGACACAAGTTACAGGCAAAGACATAAGTCAATATGTATATGTATATATTGGTTCAGCCCAGAATGGCAGAATACCTAGAAGCTGGGGGTGGTGGGAAGGAGCTTCCAGGTCATAGGTGGCTTCAAAGATTTCCTGATTGGCAATTGGTAGAAAGAGTTATGCTTTGCAGGAAGAGTTGAAGTCATCATAAAGAAATGCTTGAGTTAAAATACGGGTGATTGTGAAAGCCAAGGTTCTTGTTATATAGAAGAAGCCTCTAATTAACAGGCTTTACAGATAATAGATGGTAAATGTCTCTTACCTGACCTTAAAAGATGTCAGACTCTCTGGAAAAGACCTACCAAGGAAAGGAAAGTTTACTATGTGTCAGGATGTCCTAGTTAGTTTATTTTATTGAATTCTCATTAACAACAACAAAATGAAGAAGAAAGCAGAAGTGAAGCTTTTGAAGCTTAAGCTGCCAGGTCCTTGCTTGTACTGCCTCCTTCACAACCCCAAACCCCCACATTTCCCCAAGAGATGGCTTTGCAGGGCCATTTCAAAATCTGTCAAAGAAAATATATTTTAAGGTAAAATACTTTGATTTCCTTCAGGGCCTGCTTTCCGTCATGTGATGCTATACCAGAGTCAGGTTAGAGCTGAGTATCTTATCACTACAAAGAATCTGTTTTGTCTCTTATGATCTCTATTTTAATGTTAAATCTGGTCAGTTGTGCCCAAACTCCAAAAGGAGGAGAATAGAGTGAGGCAGGTCCATTGCCCCCCTTCACATCATGGCCTGAACCAGTTTTTCATGTTTCTTTGGGATCCCCTTGGCCAAGATGGGTTCTTTCAGTTGACTGGGGGGTATTAGAATCTTATATTTGGTTCACACTGCCATGCAATGTAATGGTTAAAATCATAATTTCTAGGGTTACATGATCAGGGTCCAGAACATTTCTTCATCTGTTCCTAGTTCTTGTTAACTTGAATTCAATGTTTCAGTTTCTTCATCTGTAAAACAGGGATTCTAAGTATAGTTTCAGGAATGAATTCATGTTTTATAGAGTCTGAAGATTAGATTGCATAATAGGGAAGGGTGTCTCTTTATTAAAAAATAAAAATAAATAAAAAAATAAGCATACATACAGCCAGGCGTGGTGGCTCACGCCTGTAATCCCAGCACTTTGGGAGGCCGAGGTGGGTGGATCACGAGGTCAGGAGATCGAGGCCATCCTGGCTAACACAGTGAAACCCCGTCTCTACTAAAAATACAAAAAATTAGCCGGGCGTGGTGGTGGGTGCCTGTAGTCCCAGCTACTCGGGAGGCTGAGGCAGAAGAACGGCGTGAACCCGGGAGGCAGAGCTTGCAGTGAGCTGAGGTCGCGCCACTGCACTCCAGCCTGGGCAACAGAGAGAGACTCCGTCTAAAAAAAAAAAAAAAAAAAAGCATACATACAAAGTGCCCACAGGCGCACAGCTCAGAAACCTCTCTTTCTGGGGTTTGGAAGGAGGCTGTCCAAGCAAGGACCTGGCAGCTTAAGCTTCAAAAGCTTCACTTTTGCTTTCTTCTTCATTTTGTTGTTGTTAATGAGAATTCAATAAAATAAACTATGCAGCACATCCTGACACACAGTAAACACTTCTAAGTACGAGTCTTCATCCTCATTATTACTTTTACTATAACATACAAATGCTTAAAGAGTAAATAATTTCTATTTTTGATTCATAAAATTTTAATTTTATTCTTTTGAGGCTACCTGCTGGAGAGAACTAAAGTTATTAGTGAAAGAGTGGTGCATGTTAAGGAATGAGCTTCTTTGTTCTTTTGTTTACAGAACAAAGTATATCAAGCAGCTACTATGCTCCAGGCAAGGAATAGGGAGGGGAGGGACATACAAATGAAAAATTCAAAACAAATTTAAAGATGCATAATAACAAATGTGTGTGAGTGCCATGGAGCTAATAAGAGGATGCTAGTATAGAGAATAATGGGGAGAGACACTAATTGGCCCAGATGCAGAGAGACACTAATTGGCTCAGATAGTAAAGGGAGACCTGGCTGGAGGAGATAATCATTAAGTGGGAATTTGAATATTATAACAGATCCTGTAATCACCTGACCACTGCACAGACAAAATCAGTTCACTGAGACTGTGGTACTGCAGTAAAGAAAGAGTTTAATTAATGCGAGGCTTGCCATGTGAGAGAACTGGAGTTATCACTCAAATCAGTCTCCCCAAAGGCTGAGAGCTTAGGGTTTCTCAAGAGCAGTGGGCTAGAGAATGGGTGTTGCTGATTGGTTGGGGATGAAATCATAGGTGTGTGGAAAACATCCCTCATGCATTGAGTCTGCCTCTGGATGAGGGGGCACAGGACCAGTTGAGTCATGAGTCACAAGTCCTGTTGGCATCAGTTGGTTGCCAGAAAGCCTAAAAAAAAAAATCTCAAAAGGCTAATCTTAGGTTCCATAATAATGATATTATCTGTGGGAGCATTTAGGGAAGTCACAAATCTTGTGATCTTTGGCCACATGACTCCAAAGCAGTAAGGTATTATGCCTACATCTTAGCAGAATTCAGGCCCCTCCAATTCTCCAATTATCTTAATCTCATGGCCTTTCATTCGTTTTCAGTCCCTGAGCAAGGAGGGTTTTAGTTTTAGGGAGAAACTATTATTATCCTTGCTTCCATGTTACACTATCAACTAAATTCCTCCCATAGTTAGCTTAGCTTATGCCTAGGAAGAAGCAAAGCCCAGCCAGCCTCTGAGGATGGAAGCCACATGGAGTCTGCTGTGTTCAATTCCTCTCACTGCTATTATCTTTGCAAAAGCAGTTTCAATGCCCTGAAGAGACGCTGGGAATAGCATTCCAGACCAAAAAAAAGTCATGTGTGAAGGCTCTACTAGAAAGAACATGACACATTCTAGGAATCTAGGCACCATAAATAGGCCACATGTTACAAGAATGATATGAGAGCCAGTGACTAATTGATCATAAATGCTTTAGTGAGATAAATTCCTAAAGGAACAAATAACAGATTTTGATGGAGTCAAACACCTAAAGCTTGGATTTGCTGCTGGAAAAACATCTTCCTCTATATTACTATGAGCTCTTAGCATAGAATTGCCTTACTTTACCTCTTCTGCTGGCTTATGGAAGCAAGCTTGGAAAAGTCCAGGGCCTAGTGTGCTAATCTCTTTCTGTCTCAGACAGACATATTAAAATGAACTAGATTAAGTAATACCTAATGAGCACCCTTAAGTGTAAAATAATAGTTGCTTTAAAATAATTTTTAAAAAATAAACTATATTGTCAACATTAAATTAAGGGCAGAAAAATGTATTAAAGTTCTAAAACTACAGAATGAATAATTGAAATATTCTAACCTAGAAGAGTAAAAAATTGGTGAATGTCATTAAAGGTTTCTAACAGAAGATCCACTTAGGAAGAGAAGTGGGATACAAATTGCTAGTAAGAAAAGGGAGAGGGGGAATAGAATATACGTATGTTTAAAACTTCCAACATCCTTTTCCTAGCCCCTGATCTATGCAAAATGAAGTCTTACTAAGTCTCAAAACAGTATTCTTTACATTTCATTTTCTTTCTTTTTCAATCATTGTTTTTGAGAAAATCCTAAACCAAAGCAAAAAAGAGAGAATCTGCCAGTGAAGCAGCTGAAGTTTCAGGAAATAACTAAACCATCCCATGCTCACCCCAAAAAGTATTCATTTGACTCTTTTTTTTTCTTTTTTTTTTTTTTGTAAGACAGGTCTTGCTCTGTCACCAAGGCTAGAGTTTGGTGGCAAGATCATACTTCACTGTAACCTGGAACTTCTGGGCCCAGGTGATACTCCTGCCTCAGCCTCCTGAGTACCTAGGACTATAGGCTCATGCCACTGCACCAGGAATTTTATTTATTTATTTATTTTTATTTTTTTAGAGATGTGGTCTTCCTATCTTGCTCACGCTGGTCTCAAACTCCTAGCCTCAAGCAATCCTCCCACCTTGGCCTCAGCCTCCCAACATGTTGGGATTACAGGTGTGAGCTATACCACTCCTGGCCCCTAGGAGCTAATTTCATCTTGATGTGAAGAGTAAAGTTGCTATGTATTTTTGTGGAGGCAGCCAGTTAATGCTTGTTAAACAAACAACAACAACAACAACAAAAAACAATATATACAAAGGCACCTACAGAAAATCTCATTTCAGACATCCCTATCAATATAAATAGTATCACCATGGCAAGCAAGTGCATTGTTCATGTGTGTCCCAGTGTTACTTTGATGATCTATTAAATCATCAAGTATATTTTTGTGCCATATGAAAAATACACATCTTTCCTGTTAACTCTTGCATTCGATCAATTGTAAGATTTACCCAAAAGGGTCTAACTGTCCACAAAATTGTCCCTGCCTTTTATCATTTTTGCTTTCTTTCAGGGTTCATTCTTCCAAGTTGTTAAAGGGTGTCAGTTAGATTGCAACAGAGGTTGCAACTCTCATTAATCCAGGAATCACATAAAAGTATTCTCAATTTCTACCACTGCCTCCAGTTAGAAGCCTTTCTGACTATTGATGCCTGTAACTATGTAAATGTGCGTGATTTAGGGGAATTGCTAACCTGGCCATATCTATCAGGCTGACTTGAGAAAGGGCACTGGAGCTATCTCAATAATGGCATGGTCTGGCTTTAAGGATTAAGGTTACTATTTTTCTGGGGAAGATTTCTCCCTAATGATACAATTCAAAGTGAAATTCTACTTGTTTCTTCATTTAAAATGAGACTAGAGTCTGTCTTTTCATCTCTCATATAGATATAGATATAGATATAGATATATATAAAACAGTTCTTCAATAGATACTGAGTTAAACTACATACATTCCTATCTATCATCATTCCTAGGATGAGAACAACAGTGAAATGGATACTTATATCTCTGCATGATCTGTTTTGACCATGAAAACATGGCCACCTACACAAACCATTTGGTTCTTAATGAGCCATAATATCTGTACTGGGTAAATGAACACAAAAATAGTGGTTTAGAAACAAGCATTTCAAACAGTTGTGTTTGTATTGCCTAAGAGCCTCACAGGGCCTGTAGAGTTTATTATGAACATGTCATAGGTCTTACACTGGGATGAGGCTTTTGTGTTTTTTTTTTTTTTTTTTTTTTGTTTTTTTTTTTGGTGCACGTTTGAACAACAAATGGCATCTTCACAAGTCTCAAAAGCTTTTATGGGCATTTCAGGTCCTAACATTTTCACATACGTTGGTTTGACTGCTGGACAGTAATGTCTTATGCTAAATTAGTAAGGGACAAATTTCAATAGATATTTCATATTATTTTTCTGAAAATTGTAAATTCATAAACATTATTTTCTGGACTTTTCTTTTTCCTCCCTGTGGTCATCACCTACCATTTATCTGATTATGACTCAAAAGGAAACATGTGTGTTGATTTAGACTGCTTCAACATTCCAGTTCCAATCTGAAGCTATCTATCTTCCCAAATGGAATGTTATGCAGACCTCTTGTCCTCCCTCCTGCTTGTTGTGGCAGAGATTTATACTTGTAATTTCCCAGAACATTTGAATTAGAGATGTGAGCCCCGATGCCAACTGTCTACAGGTTGAAGTTATAAAGGTAAAAACTTGGTCCAGCAAATCTTCCTCTCCTTTCACTCCAGGATTCACTTTTCTTAGTGCCCAAGTAATATTTATGAGGCTCTTGTTATTTAGCTGTTGTATTATATTTATGTTAAATACATTTCTAACAAATTCTACTGCATTTACATTTATTATTCAACAAGACATCACAATATGATAGCAGATAATGATGAATCTCCAGATAATTCTTACCGCTAAGTCTTCAGTTGTCTAAAGTCACACACACACACATACACACATACACATACACACATATGCACACACACAGAGTCAGAGTTTGGATTACCAAATGAGAAATAATTCCTTAGTGTGTGCAGTACTTTTTGCTCTCAAATGTTTCTTTTCTTCACACATACTTATTTGACCCATTCAGCTAAAAGCAACATGCATCTTACTAATTCTATAAATGTGTATACTAGAGTTCTTACCTTTTTGAAAGATTAATTAATACAGTCATGGCTAATTATCTGTAACTGGTTATATGAGCAAGGCCATTATACACAGTGAACATTATAAAGATAATCATTTTTCTTTAGCCTCTCAGCACAGGTCAGGATAAAACCGTAATATCCTTCATAAATAGGAACACTGGCCATCACTGGAGAGTAAAATGACCACTGGTCCAGTCTGGTAAATATTCGTTCATGGTTATGCTCTTAAAAAGTGTTTAGGAAATAAGAGAGAAAAAAATAGGAAAAAAATTACAAAAAAAAAAAAACCCAAACACATATAGACTTGAAGAGTTGCTCTCAGATCAAAATATCCTGCAATAATCTGAAGTAGAAAAGTATCATTATGACCTAAGAAGGTTCATGAAAATGTTTCTCATCATAGTAGCTCAGAAGGACTGATTTAGAATGTTGCCCATGGATTTCTGTTTGCTTGCCTGTGTAAATAAATACATGTATAGATGGGGGAGAAATTTGATTTTAACACATAGCCTTAGTGTTCAACTTTAAGTTACATAAGATGGGTCTGGGGACATTATCTTAAATTTGGATTTCTGAAAAATATGTAGGTCTGGCTCTGAAATCTGAGTTTTAATCCATATTCTAAAAATTTGCAAACTAAAGCTTCCTCTTTTTTCTTCACAGAGGCTTAGGCACATCATGTTGAAGGGAGCAATTTGGGAAGGTAGGCAAAGCTATAATCAATCAACCAAGGCTGCTGAAAGTCGGGGTGAATAAATACTCAACGATCAGTCTATCTAATGTACATCAACCCTAACTTATTATAAAAGATCGTTAAACCTTTGAAAGGTCAATGTATATACTGCTATCTATCACAGGCGGGCACCATTCATTATGTCCTGTCAGTGGCTCTCCACTGGCCAACCCTTCAAGGTGTCAAGCCGAGACGCTCAGAGGCCATGTGGTCATGAGGGCCCAAGCTTCCTCCCCAAATATAGTTTTTATTTTCCATCTCATTCTATTGCCTTGCCTTTTTTCTACTTTGGTTTCTCTTCCTGCTTCCCTCAATTTGGAAGTCTCTCATTTCCCCATGAACCACAGACATTCTTCATTAACCAAGTTAAGGGCCATGCCTTTTGGGGGGTTATTCTTTAGCTATTCATGCCTCTGCTTTGTGAATTCCATTTCAACCAATTTTTGTTTTCATTTTTATAAATGGTATTGTTGTTGTTGTTTTGTTTCCTCTCCGCTACGTCCTTTCAGCCATGAAAGATGCATCTTCTACTTTTATATTCCCCTCAATATCATATATAGCAAATGCTTTATAAAAATTATAATAAAGCATATTTTAGGTTTTTTTGTTTGAGGTTGCTTTTTTTTTTTTTTTTTGACAGAGTCTCACTGTGTTGCCCAGGCTGGAGTACAATGCTGCCATCTCGGTTCACTGCAACCTCCATCTCCCAGGTTCAAGCAATTCTCATGCCCCAGCCTCTGGAGTAGATGGGATTACAGGCACACACCACCAAGTTCAGCTAATTTTTTTGTATTTTTAGTAGAGATAGGGTTTCACCATGTTGGGCAGGCTGGTCTCGAACTCCTGACCTCAAATGCCTTGGCCTCCTAAAGTGCCAGGATTACAGGCCTGAGCCACCACACCTGACCATAAAGCAGGTTTCTTAAACAGCAATCTGTAGACCAGCCTTATAGGAATTATCTGAAGTGTGTGTGCAGTATGCACATTTCTGGGCCACACCCTAGACTTGCTGAACAAGAAACTATATTTTTAAGCTAGAAGGGAGACACATATATGCCCTGAAGTTTGAAATCAATTGACCTAGAAACATAGTTTCCCTAAGCAGTCCAAGCATAAGAATCATTTGAGGCAGCTGTAAAAACTACACATTCCAGATCTCCGTCAGATCTTCAGAAGGAAAATCCCTAGAGCAGTAACATGGGAATGAGCCTTTTTCACCCCACTCTGGCTCACTAGATCATTCTAACCATGAGGCAAGGTGATGAAACTTTCTCTAAACTATTAGTAGTGCTTTTCCAAATGGATAAAAGCACATTTTGCAGAATAATGTAATATAATTATTTTCTCAACATTTTGCCTTAATTATAATCAGTTTCATAATTTAAAGCATTCATAGTTTGAGAAATGTAAGCCAAAGAATAATGCATTTGTTTTCTAAATTATTATCCCCTGATTGAGTTAGTAGCCTTGTAGATAAACTGCAATAGCATAAAAATAACAAAATTTGCAGCTGCCAAAATTTATCCTACCTTTGACATTTATGGACTGGTGGGTGTGAGAAAGTTATCAAATCCCTAGGAAATTCAGTTTCCTCTTTAAAAAAAAATGGGGACCATGATACCTAACTTGCAAGAAAATAGATGTAGCACACTACAATGTGAGCCACAATGCTTTATTTATTCAAAACTCTAAAATTCCAGCAAACTGAGGGAAAGTGTGAAAGGTTCATGGGGCTGGCCGTAAGAGCCTTCGTGTACCTCTTGGTTCCTCTGTGCCAGCAAACAGAAGACTTCTCTTCACAAGACCACTTGGTAGCCTATGTGGATTGACTCTGCATTACAGATCTCTGACTTCCATACTGGTTTGTGGCTGCAATAGAGGACTCTTCACGTCTTTCTAACCCTCCTCAATTGTAGAAACATGGAACAGCAACATTCTTAAATGCTCATGTACCTTTATTAAAGTATTATATTTGCAGTGATCATTTAATAAGTAGATAGGCTGAATATTTTATAATCTTTTCTGAGCCAATTGTTTGTGTGTGTTTTGCTGAAAATGACCTTTTTAAAAAATAGCCATAATGTTTATAGAGCATAAAATAATAAAAGGGAAATGAAAACCACCCAATGAAAATCACTATTGCTGCTTTCAAATACATGTTTCATTTTTTTCCTAGAAATATGTATTTTTGTCTTTTTTTAAATGGAAAGATATTACATAGTGATCTTTCCCTAATGTTATATCATGTGCATTTCTACATTCATTCAAATAGTCTTTGAAAAATGATGGCTAATAAATACTTAACATTTCTTACTGTAACAGTTGCGTGATTTGTTTAAGTGCTCTTCTATTATTGGACATTTTGTTTTCTTCTGTTTTACTATTATAAGGAGTTTTAAAATGCTCTCCCAACAGAAAACCTTGATTGCATCTTTAATTACCTTCTTAGAAGTCATTTCTAGAAGTGATATCACTAGGTCAAAAGGAGGAATGTTTCTTAAAGCTCATGATATATATCTCGCAATTACTTCTCAGAAATGTTGCTAATTTAAACTCTATCATTTTCCCTCCTACCCAAGAAGGAATTTCATTATATCCAATATCAAAGCATTAATAAATTTTTAGGTTATTGTTTAATAACCCCTAAAGAAAATTTCATGCTTTAATTTGTATGTTTTTCATTAATATTAAGTTTGCTCTTTTGTCATTTACTTTGTTTCTGTGTTTTCTCCTTGTCCCCTTTTTATAATAAAAAGCCAGTGTTTTCTCAGTGATTTGTAATCACACTGTTTATTTGGAGAGTAAATCCCTAGCTATATTAGTTGAACATGTTTTTCCTAGGCTGAAATTTGCCTTTAAATTTATTTAGTTAAAATATTAATATTTATTTTGATAGACATATTTTTTCTTCTTCTGAACATCTTTTAAACATTTTATTATAAACATTTTTAAACATTCATAAAAGTTGCAAGAATTGTACAGTGAACACCTGATATTTAGGACTTCTATTCTTTAAAAAATATTTTATCATTTTCTTTATAATATAGCTAATCATCTACTGGAAATTTTTATACTTGCTTATAGTCAATTATTTTTCCTTAATCCCACTTCTCTGAATTTAATCAAAAGAAATATTTGCTAAAGTATAAGTTTCATTCCAAGTAAGTTCTTCATCTGCCTTGCCTTCCGATGTACCCCACTATCTGGAACAGGACCTATCGCATTGTAACACTCACTAAATAATTGTTGATTGAATGACTTTTCTCAATGAGGGGAAATTTTTCCTGCTCTAGGAGAATAAAGATGACTCTTTAATATGTTGAGGCCTCAAGACTTTAAAATCTACTCGGTACAAAGAAGCATAGCATACTCTAGAACCAGTAAGAGATAACTGGCTTTTTTAATTAGTATGCTAAGTTTTTCAAAATGTATGCCTTAAAATATGAGAGACATCAAGTATCTTTTATCTACAAATAAGCAAAGAACTTGTGGACAAACTGTCATAGTTTCTGGGTAATGGTTTGCATCTTTTAATGGCAATATCCCATATCTGGGAGAGAATTAGAATTCAAAACATTTTCAATTCCTTCCCGAAAATGATGAGCTAATGTTGAAATGCCTATGAAGACAGAAGAACAAAAGAAAATGTTGCAGGCTAAGGTATCTGACAAGAATGGAGAAAAGTGTGTCACAGATTGTAAAATTTAGCTCATTGAGAAGGGAACAGAAAAATGATGCATGATACTTCAAAAGGGGGAAAAAAGTCTGTCATGAAGCTTCTGAGTCCAGATTGTCTGGATGAGCAGAAATATTAGAAACAAGCTAATCACTGTCTGTCTTTTACTCTCCCAGTTAAAAACAAAAGGGAAAAAGAAGCCACTCGGTATTTCCTACGTGTACTAATGAAAAAAACTTTTATTGTTCCTTTCTCAGGAGTTGTGGAGCAAAGGTAACTTTATCATGTGGTTGCAGTCATAACCACTTGTGAAACTTAAAATAATGATGCCTAGACACTATTGCAGACCAATGAAATCAAAATCTCTAAGGGCTGGGTACGGTGGGAGGGTTGGAGGCATTGATATAAAATTTCTGCAAGTCATCCTAGTGTACAGTTATGAAAGCAAAACATTGGAAGAAATAGTGCAGCAAGGAAGGCATGGACTAGTCAACCTTGCAGAGTGTTCAGTTCTGTTCCAGAATTTTGTTCGTATACAACCATCATTCAAATGGGAGCAAAGAGAAGAAAACGCTTTCCAAATATTTCTGATTTCTGCTAATTCTCACCCAAATGTCAGGTTCATGCATCATTTTTTGTGGAAAAGGGTAAGGGAGGTGTTCATGATGAGTCAGGTTTTTCCTTTGTATGTTAAACACTGCATAGGTTAAGCTGATACGAGTTTAAGGAATACTTTATTTACATGAAACAAAATAAAGCAAAAACAGGAATAAAGCACCTAGACCAGGCTCTAGAGCGTTTTGGTCCCTAACTTTTCTGCTGTTGATGTTCTGCAATATAAATGAAATCAAGTATTTGGAGCTGTCCTGAAAGAACAGATTCTAGTTAAGGGGGCAATGAGGGAGAGCATTCTTCTATAAATTGACTTTCTAAATATATCATGTTTTTCATAAGCACTTCATAAATCTTGACACATTTCTTTGAAAGTATATTATCACCACTTTATAGGCAAGGAAATTGTTTTGGAAAGCAGAGCTGGGATTTGAACTAGCATTGCCTGATCCTAGTGCCTTATGCTCTTATAATTACTGTTTTCCACATTTACTTAACCTTTTATCAATTTTTGACATTTAGAGCATTTCTCATTTCCAACAATTATAAAATTGTTGGATGGTTTCATGTCTGTATTTTCTTCCCCATGTTTGGAGTTACTTCTTTGGAACAGAATCTCAGAAGTTATTCGAGACTGTGACAAGGTTTATGTTTTTTTTTTTTTACATATTGCCAAATTGCTTGCAAAGGAGTTGTACAAAATTACAATGCATCCAGAAAGGTATGATAGCTAGGTCTCAAGAATATTTAATTATTTTCAATTTAATAGGCAAAAATATATATATTTTATCTCATTTCTTAATTTTCATTTGGTTTATCGGTGAATCAGGGCATTTCCGTGTGGTAAGTTGGTTTGCTTTGTCCATTTATCTATTGGAATCTTCATTTATGATCTTTGATATGACTTGATTTGTAGAATTCTTGACAGTTGTAATGTATGTTTTTTGTGGCATTATGTTCAATGCCTGTCTCTCCAGATACACAGTAAGGCACCTGAGAACAGATCTTGTACCTGTTTGGTTTATTTTTGCTTTCTGGTACCTCATACTGTGCCTGGCACATAATATGTGCTAAAGCTATACATGATCAGAAAGACATATTTCTTTCCCCATATATGGGAGAACAATACACTGGATTTTTTTATAGTGTTGATTTTATGGTTGTTTTGAGTGGTTTAGGGCAGTACCAAGGCTAGTCAGTAACCTTCACAAAGCCATTCATTCGTAAATGAAATTGTCACTGAGGAGTCATAAAATTTAAAAGGCAATTTGAATGAAATGGGAATAATGTAGAAAATCTTCAGGGAAGAGGTGAGATCTCTTTACTGATAAGACCTTTTCAAATGAAGAAAATAGTTTTGTGGTATCTTCCCTGTTGGGGGTTCTGCTGATAACCTTTTATAGGACCAAGTGGAACAACCCATATTAAGTAGGCTGTAGTGGACTCCTAATTAGTCCAATTAATGTGATGGCTTTAATTTGTAAGAGATCTAATGGTGTAGAATCTGATTTCTTTGAAATCACTCCTCTCTAGAATGTAAAACAACAATGAAAGGCAGCTAAAGCAGTCCTGGAGTGGCTAAGTACTGCATTTAGTTATTGTATTTCCCACCCCTTCCCTCCTTAAAGAGAAAATAAAAGGTATTTCTTCCTCCATATTATTCCCCCTGGCATGCTGCCTTTGTTAGGACAACAGCAGCCAAGAGCAGATTTGAAATGACTCCTCGGCATTTTCTTAAGATGAGTCCAGTGGAGGCTCTTCAATTAGTAGTGGTCATGTGTGCCGGGGTCAATATTCCAGAATACTTAAGTTTTTGCTCTTTTCTGCAGAAATAAACATTATTATTGTTGTTGTTATTAAAATCCAAAAGGAAACTATAATGTCTGAGGCAAACTGTTCTTGTCACAGCCTGCTATTCCCATGAGCCGAGAAGCATCACAATACATTGCCTGCTGTCTCAACCCATGGAAAGTCTGATTAGCTCTCTAGCAATCTGATCTCCAGAAATCGCCCTTTCCTTACTATCTCAACACCCTTTCATGGAAAACAGTATGCGTGCTTCTCTGTTCAGACTCCACTGTAAAATTTTTAAGCCAATTCCCATGGGATTCTGATGGTTTTTATGTAAGTAAAGGAACCAAAGATTTTCAATGAGAACTATTGAGCCCGACAAAGGCTTACTGATTTATGTAGTTACCACCTGAAGTAAGAAAGCCACTTTGATATTTAAAAACCATTCTAGGCCGGGTGCAGTGGTTCACGCCTGTAATCCCAGTATTTTGAGAGGCCGAGGTGGGCGGATCACGAGGTCAAGAGATTGAGACTATCCTGGCCAACATGGTGAAACCCCGTCTCTACTAAAAATACAAAAGTTAGCTGGTCATGGTGGCACGCGTCTGTAGTCCTAGCTACTTGGGAGGCTGAGGCAGGAGAATCGCATGAACCTGGGAGGCAGAGGCTGCAGTGAGCCCAGATTGTGCCACTGCACTCCAGCCTGGCAACAAGAGCGAGTCTCTGTCACAAAAAAATAAACAAATAAAAATAAAAGTAAACAAAAACTATTCTAAATTAAGTGGCTGGCCTTCCTTCCTTCTTTCTTTTCTTCCTTCCACTGTCTTTAGCATATGTTTTGGACAACTTCATGTAAATAAAATGGAAGCACAATTGGGAGCCACCATAATAACGTCAGTAATCTGGCAGGAAATTTTCTACATTAGTGATTAATAAACAATGTATTTTTAATGCCCAAAGTTGCATTTGGCACAAGTGTTTGTTCAGTGTTTCTAAAACAATTATTAAAACTAATTTTAATCATTTAGAACTTTGCTGGTTAATATAGTAGCTACTAGTCACATGTGGCTATGTAGCATTTGTGACTAGCCCAAACTAAGTTGTGCTGTCAGTATAAAATACACACTGGCTCTTGATGACTTGTTATTAAAAACATGTAAAATATCTCATTAGTATTCATGTTTATTGCATGTTGAAAGGATAATAGTTTATATACATAATTAAAACATCTTATGAAATTCATTTCACCCATTTTGCTGCTTCTTTAAAAATGTGACTTCTAGAAAATTTAAAATTACATATGTGAAATTGTATTATGTTTATATTGGATAGCACAAGATAGATATATTTAGGCTCTAGCCCTGCTGGAGTTCCCCACTAACAGGATGATCACAATTCTCTATCCAGCAGCACAATGTGAGTGGAATTATGCAGGTAAACGTGTGCTAGTCAGTTACAGAGCTAGACCTCAAGGGGAGCAGATCATAGCCTAAGGAAGTAGACCTCTCAATTCCCACTGCCTGCATGTCCCAGACTTAGAACGTTATCATCCCTACCATCGCAAACATGGTTGGGATGATCTGGTCCCAGTTGATCTGGTCATAGTCTGAGCCTCAACCCTTCAATCTTTAATCTGCACTCTGTGACCAATAAAAATTTTAGAATTCTCAAGCAAGAACTTGAATACTATTTTTGGCATTTTTAAAACAAAAATCTGTAATGGTTATTAATTGATGTAGGCATGGTTGAATAGACAGTTTTCTTTGAAAACCTTTGCCATTGAGCAAATAAATACTTAAACCAAATTTCATCAAAGTGCAGTCCTGCTGTAGCAGAATCAAATGCAATAGTTGTTTAAAATGCAGATTTCAGAGCCCCACCACCAATAATGATAATTTAGTAGGTCTAGACCAGGGAACAGAATCTGAGTTTAAACAGCATCATTCTAGTTATTCTCATGCAGTCTAAAATGTGGGAACCATCACTTGAAGCTATAGTTGTTTTCCTTTAATTGTTCTATTTTAAATAAGTACATTATATAGCAAATATACTGTCATATCATTATCCTATAAATTTAGAGGTTAGGGGTATCTACCCAGGAATATTTGGTTTCTCTATTACTTCATTGTGAGAACCTGAACACAATTTACTGTCACAGTTTCCCAACAAATCTAAAAATTTACTGGTGATATTATTTATACTTCTAAAGTTATTTAATAAAAAATATTTAATTAACATCTTATTCTATTATTTGATTATATTCCTAAAATGTAAACTTCTATGATAGTTCATACAGTTACAAATATCCAGCTTGTAAAGAACATATTAGAAAGACTCATTTTTGTTGATGGGGAGGGAATCCCAAGAATTTGCCATTCCCTGGAAATATATTCACCAGGAATTTCCTAGAATTTATGAAATTATACCACATAAATTTCCACCCATGTCTACCCACTGGTAAACTGAGGAGAGAGAAAAATCAGTGATTATTTGTGGATTAAAAATGAGATACATCAGACAGCAACATGTCCTAGGTATCAAAACAAATCAGAGAGTATTAACCTGGAGTCGTGTCATGTAACACAGAGGAAAAAACAGTGCATCATGTTTCAAAGCCTGGATTCTTGTTTGGAGTCATCCACTAACAGTGATGTGGGCATCTGTTTCCTCATCTGAAATTTAAGACTGTGAGACAAGATGATACAGAGACATCCTCTCAGTTCTGACAGTCTGTGTTTTTCATCCACACTTGCAGTGATATAGACCTATCAGGAGGGACGACTGGAATCCTGACTAGATTGAGTTAGATTTAGAGCATCTCAGAGATAAGCCTGCGTGTGGTCTCCTTACAGGATAGCAAAAAATATTGCAGGGCACGCACATAGGCAGGAGTGTGAGGTTTCTAGAATGTCATGGCTGCTGCAGGATAAGGTTGAATTGTGGGTCCTGGAAAGAGGTGACCAGGGAGCTCAGCTGTGACTGAGGATGAGGTGATTAGGGGACAGTTTCTGAGTCAGGCTGCCTGAGGCAGGGGAGAGGGCCTGAGGGCAGGGTCACTTCCTGGAGCATTACCAGTCCTGAGCATCACCACTTAAACATCAGAGAGAAAGGAAGAAAGGCGATAGGTAAGTGACACTTCCCGATATCGCCTTGGGAGAATGGCTTTTGCTTTATTTTTCTTTTCTTTTATTATTTTCAAAAGAAAACATCAGGAAAGCTAGTCAAGCCAGCTGCCTTTTGAGTAAACAAAGAACCAGAGTTCAGGGAGCAAGGGTGGCAGTAAAGATGGATAAGTCAGAGGGTAGGTGTTTTTCTCTCAACATGAATTGTGAGAAGTTTCTCAAAACTTACATTATAAATAAATGATAGTACTAACATTTTTTTCTTTTTTCTTTCTTTTCTATTGACTGACCATGACACTTCTGTCTCACAATTCCTCACCATTTTGCCATGAGGTTTTCTCCTTCCCCTTGCCTAGGTTCAGAATAAAAGATGCCTATATATTAGGTCCCGCCAGAAAAAAAGGCAAGAACTCACGTGTTAGTAAAACATTTAATAAACCTCAGCACACACTTGGCCAAATTCCTGGAAGATCAGAGCTGCATCCCTGAAATTTCTTTTTATCTTGATCCAGTTAACTGCCTGTTTAGAGTAAATGATGTGCTCCCACGTTCTTTATACTGTCCTCCCCATATAAGCATATACACGAGAGGATTATACCTGCTCTCCGGAAGCTTATAATTCAGACGTTATTACCCCTTTTGGAAGTATTCTCTGGGAAGCTCTTTTCACTAATGTTCAATTTCAACAATAGTATTACTATAATAGCTAAGTTTCATTTAGTGCTTAGTGTGTTCTAAGCACTCTCAAAAGTGCTTCATATATATTTAATCATTAACTCTTACCATAACTCTATGCCCTAGGTAATATTATTGTCCCCATTTTACAAATAAGAAAACAAGCACCAAGAGATGTTAGGTGAACTTGCCTAGAGTTACACAAAGAATAAGTGACTGAGCCACTCATTGAAATGCTGCTCTTGCAAGAAAACATAAAATTGTATGATGGTGCCACATAACACATACTTGACACGGGCTTTGAAGGCAGAGAAGCCTGGGTTCAAATAAAATTCAGCCACATACTAGCTGCATGATTCTAGGACAAGTTACAGAACCTGAGGCCATCAGTTATCATCTGTCAAAATGGAGTGAATACTTATAAAGGTTACATGAGGGTCAAAAATAATGTATAAAAGGAGCCTGGTACATAGTTGTCATTCAAAGAGAGCTGCTGATGTTATTAACATTAGTTGACTATGTAATATTACTTAAAACTCTTACTTCCTATTTTTCTTCCTACTGCAATAAAGTTTCTGCCATTTCTTCTCTCTGTGTGAAGTTTTTCTTCTTCCTCGGTCTGTAGCTGGAATGTGCCTTTCTGTGCCAAGCCCACTGACTCATGGTGATATAGCCCACAGAGCAGGGTGCAAGCAATAGAAGGGCCATACCAGGCCACAACATATGTCTCAGATTCCCAGGACAAGCTTTGTTCACGGCATGGAAGAATGGCTGGTTAACTTAATCCCAGGGTTGCATTCTCCGTAATGATACATCTCAGGCCATCGATCCATGGCTTTATTTTCAAGCTTGTTTAAGCAGGAGCTATAAAAAACAGAGCATCATGCACGTGCAATATGGAATTAAGCCTCACACTCTTACCACTCTAATTCTCTTAGATACCTATTTGTTTGTCTTGATTTTAGAAAGCAGAATTCAGTAAAGAAACAAATTGGGGAATATTTTTTAGGGTTATAATCTTCCACGTAATGATATAAACGATTCTGTGTAGAATTGCTATCTTGCTGGTGAGTTGTTTTCTGAAATAATGTGCCCAAAACAGAAATCAGCATTGTTTTTTTGAGGCAATTCACTGTGGCATTGTGGCTGCTGTGAATGTTCTAGAAATTGTAAAATACGCTTTTGCAAACGTAGAGATGGTTTTAGTTTTCTTATATCAATAAGCAGTAGGATTAAATGTAACAGGCTTACGAGAAATGAGGGAAATATTCAATGCATTTTGCGATAAAGAGCAAAGGAAGCTCAAAGCTCCTTCAGCCATAACGACATCCTTGTTTCTTCTTCCTTTTCCTTTCCCAGTGTGTGTATGAAAACCAGGAAACAAGGGAGAATCAAGTGCTGGGTTGGGTGAGGTTAAGAGAATCGGGTTCTCTTCACATTTACCTTGGACTTTTCAGGAACTTTCCTATAATTCATTTAAGCTCAATAAGTTCTATTATCTTCTTTGGTAGAGCTTGTTGGGGGGACTATAGTAATCCTGCCAAGAAAATGTTATCTTGTTCCTCAAATAACAAAAAAGTGATTTGTATAAAAGCAAGGTTCATAATGTAAAATCTAAGTATATTTGAAAGAAAAAATTTCTAAAATATTTGAGTCTCGAGTAAATTCCTTGAGCTTCACACCATACAACTTAGTTCTTGGTAAATTAAAAGTAGGGCTTCTAGTGATTTGCATAAAAACTCTCAAGAGGAGGACCTCAGATACATGGCTTATCAAACTGGCACTTCATAGAGTCTGGGCCATATCAGATCCTTGAATGCTTGCTTCTTAATAGTAACTCCTATATAGTTTCTAAGGGGTTTCGGCTGTCTATATTATGAGGAGTGCATGTTTTTAAGAGCTTTACAGGGGTCAGGAGAATTGGCTTCTCTCTCTTCATTTGCATTTAACGTTCTAAAAGTTCTTAAGCTGGAAATGATCTGAGAACTCTCTCTGGGAATCTATTTCTTAGTTTCTAAATAATCAAACCTATCATCAGTCAATGCACTGTTTTATCTTCCTTCAGGCAAGTTTAAAATATGTACATATATATGTTATAGAAGCTGTTTTTTTTTCAAACCTCATTTTATGAGCCAATATGTTTGTTTCCCAAAGAAAAAAAATGTTTGTTTTCATGATTTTGGCAGAAACAAATGTTTTCTTTGGGGCTGTTCAAATAGTCATATTTTCAAGTTTTCTTGCTTCTTTCTATTGGGGGGAGCACCCCCTGGTGGAATACCATGAAAATGTTTGCCACGTGTTTTGACTCTAATATTCAACAGACAGATGTGTTTTGCAAATATTACTTTTACACAAAGCACACTCAGAACCATTTTGCCAATGTTAATGTCTTGGAAAATTCCATGCCTTCTTTCTAATTATCACCACAGTATTCAGAATGGGCTCCCTTGTTTTAGGTGTTACACAGTTGTGGTCAGAGATGCTGCAGCAGTCTCTGTGGGTCAGAAATGAGTCGGGAAGGGCACTCTGGCATTATGTTCCTACTTGTGGGAAAAAAGGGACCCTTTTCTCCTTTCCCTCAGTTCTTCCTTCTTTCCTTCCATTTCTTCCTGCTACTACAAACAAAATGGCATTTGTTGGAGGGTCTGACTGGGTGAGAAAACAGTCGGCCATGACAGTGCCCAGTTATAGGTAAAGCCTAAGGTACATCTCTTTCCAGAGTAACGTCCCTGTCACTGCAAGCTGGGGGAGATTAACAGAAAGGGAATTTGCTGGGAGATATTCTTAATCCCCCATATCCCCCCAAATATAAATTTAAATTAGTACTAAAAACATATCAGATTAATCAATAAGCCTGTAATTTCTGTATCTTATAGAGAAAAAAGTATCATCCCCAAGGTAACTGGAAAGGATGGGGCACTATTGTTTATCATTGCTGTTGTGTGCTGAATTGTGTCTCCCCTCCTCATAATTCATATGTTGCAGCTCTAACTTTCAGCAACTCAGAATGTGCCTTTATTTGGAAACAGGGTTTTGCAGACGTAATTAGTTAAGATGAGGGTATGCTGGGGTAGGGTGACCAATGTGACTGGTGTCCTTATAAAAAAGGGAAATTTGGACACAGACAAACACACAGAGAACAGTATGTGAACATGAAGGCAGAGATTGCAGTAATACATCTACAAACCACATTTCTAAGAAGAGACCAATCCTACCAAGACCTTGATTTTGAACTTGTAGCCTCCAGAGTTTTCAGACGATACATTACTGTTATGTAAGCCACTCAGTTTGTGGTACTTGGTTACAACAATCCTAGCAAATGAACCTTCCTCTGAACTCAAGTGGTGGTCCCTTCCCACACATAACCTTTCTGAGTAGAGACCAGTTTTTGTAGCTGCTGTTGTTTTAAAGTAAGGACTGAAACAGTTTACTGCCTCCATCAACTATTGCATCATGTTATGCAGCCTGTATTTTCTTAAGAATGAAAATAACGTTTTCTTTATAAAAGCAAGCCAAAATGGACTATAAATTATATAGATGTTTCTTGGCTCACAGAGAACTATAATTCATCTGGAACCAAGTAGGAATGGATCTCCATATTTTTAAATTTTTATATTTTTAAATTTTGTGGGTACATAGTAGGTGTATATATATATATGTGGGGTACATGAGATATGTTGATACAGGCATACAATGTATAATAATCACATCAGCATAAATGGAGTCTCTATCATGTTAAGCATTTATCCTTTCTTTGTGTTACAAACAATCCAATTATACATTTAGTTATTGTTCAATGTACAATAAATTATTATTGACTGTAGTTACCCCGTTGTGCTATCAAATACTAGATCCTAGTCATCCTATTTAACTATATTCTTGTATACATTAACCATCTCTACTTCCCCATCACCTCACTACCCTTCCCAGCCTCTAGTAACCATCCTTCTACTCTCCATCTCCAGGAGTTTAATTGTTTTAACGTTTAGCTCCCACAGATAAATGAGAAAATACAAAGTTTGTCTTTCTGTGCCTTGCTCATTTCACTTAACATAATGACCTCCAGTTCCATCCATGTTGCTGCAAATGACAGGATCTCATTCTTTTTTATGGCTGAATAGTACTCCACTGTGTATATGTACCACATTTTTAAAAATCCATTCATCTGTTGATGGGCACTTAGATTGCTTCAAATTATTGGTTGTTCTGCATAGTGCTGTAATAAACATGGGATTACAGACAGCTCTTTGATTCACTGATTTTCTTTCTTTTGGATATATACCTAGCCATGGGATTGCTGGACCCTATGGTAGTTCTATTGTAAGTTTTCTGAGGAAACTCCAAACTGTTCTCCATAGTGGTTGTACTAATTTACATTCCCACCAACAGTGTACAAAGGTTCCCTTTTCTCCACATCATTGCCAGCATTTGTTATTGCTCATCTTTTGAATAAAACAAGTTTTAACTTGTTTTATTCAAAAGAGGTAAGATCATGTCTCATTGTGGTATTGATTTGCATTTCTCTGATGATGAATGATATCGAGCACCTTTTCATATACCTGTTTGGCATTTGTATGTCTTCTTTTGAGAAAGTCTATTCAGATCTTTTGTCTATTTTTTAATTGGATTTTTAGATTTTTTCCTAGGGAGTTGCTTGAGCCCCTTATTCTAGTTATTAATCCCTTGTCAGATGCATAGTTTGTAAATATTTTCTCCCATTCTGTGGATTGTCTCTTCACTCTGTTGATTGTTTCCTTTGCTATGCAGAAGCCTTTTAACTTCACGTGATCCCATTTGTCTATTTTTATTTTGGTTGCCTGTGCTTATGGAGTATTACTCGAGAAATTTTTGCCTGGCCCAATATCCTGGAGAGTTTTCCTAATATTTTCTTTTTGTAGTTTCATACTCTGAGGTCTTAGATTTTAATTCCTTAATCTACATTGTCTTGGTTTTTGTATATGGTGAGAGATAGGGTTCTGGTTTTTACTTTTCTGCATAGGGATATCCAGTTTTCTCAGCACCATTTTATTGAAGAGAATGTCCTTTCCCCAATGTATGTTCTTGCCACACTTGTCAAAAATGAGTTCACTCTAGATGTATGAATTTGTTTTTGGGTTCTCTATTCTGTTCTGTTGGTCTATGTGTCCGTTTTTACAACAGTATCATGCTGTTTTGGTTACTATAGCTGAGTAGAGACCAATTTGAATGATCTCTGTTACTACAGCTGAATAGAGGCAAATCTGAATTGTCTCTACTGAGCCACAGTAACTTCCCATGGTCCCCAGGCCATCCCATGGTCTCCTGGCCAACTACTTTCAAAAGCACTTAAGACAAAGATGGAAGGTAGATAGCAGGTTGGATGCTGGGCAATATATGGCCAGTCTCCCAAGTCCCAAGTGATTCTTCCCCAATACAAAGTCCTAACAATAACTTTCACTGCCACTGCGCAGAACCTAAATGTAATGGCAAAACTGCTAAAGAGCTCAGAGTCTCTCTCCATGTTCTGTGTTCCCGATAACCTGAGTGTGGTTATTCTAGCAGGCAAACAAAATAGAAACAGAGATATGTGTCACCTGAAATACCTGTGTTGGTTGGAGTTTTCTTCAAAACTCTTCTACCTGTCTTTGATACAGCAGTTCATTACAGCGAGTCTCATCCTCTACTATACAAGGTCATGATTCTCTTGCCCAAGGGACTGTCCTCCATGCTGTTCCCCAAATACAGCAAAACCTTTTCCCCATTTGATCTGCTCATTGTACAGTCTGCATCTCCCAAAGGCATTCTCTGTTGGACATTTATGGAAATCCACTTCATCTTTCAGATCCAGCTTGAGTCCAGCCTTTTACATGAAGCCTTTCCCAGTCATACAAAACCACATCTATGTCTGAATTCCTGTGAGACTTGTTGACTATGCTTTAGCCTCTGTGAAATTCTCTCCCACTTTAAATAGCAAAGTCCAATAAAAGCAATGGTAACTCATTCTATTTCAAAGGTACAACTTACAGTATATTTCAGGCTGCTGGGGATACAGTGGGTAAGCAATACAGGCTTACTTGCTAAAATAAAATGAATAATACTAATTATTTTGATGGATATCTGTCTCCAAGTTATATACATATATGTGAATAATGATTTTTAATTTTTTATTAATGAGTTTTAATTTGCACTATGTCATATAATCCTTACAGCAACCCTGAGAGATAGCTATTCTTACAATAGCATTGATGGTTTAGAATTAGCTAAAAGGTAGTCTAAAACAGCTTCAGAGTATTAGGATTTCAGGCATATGATCCTCACAAATTGGTATTTTGTAGAAAAACTACTCAAGAAAAGAAGGAAAACTCTACTCAGAGAGGAACTTTCAGCCTTCAGAGTTGTTTTTCCCCTCTTCATCTTTCTTCTCCTTTCATTTAAATTCCTGGTTAATGAAACCCCCACCTCACTATCATCCTTCAAACAACTATGCAGATTGCACTTTCATCACACGGTCTGTCTTAAACAGCTCTCCAAAAGAAATAAAAAGAATTCTGTGCTATTTACTTTTTTTTTAAACGATGAAACAAATAACAAGGAGAAAGAGCCATCTAACAAACCTTCACCCTAGCAAAATGCTGAGCTGCTTGCAGCTACCAGCCAGTTTGATTAAGGTGTCATCCCTCCTCTTCATTTATATTTATTATTTTTGGAAGACTTTTTTTCCCTTTAGTGTTTGTTTATCTTTTCCAATTTTTTAAAAGTCATGAATCATAGTTTGATTTACAACCTTGCTCAGGGGAGATCGGCAACTCTAATGAAGGAGCCGTCTGCAAGTGTAATTAATACCTGCCAGACATTTTACCACATTAGCGTGCCAGTATCCTGGGCTGGGGAAGAATGAAGCCGGGAGACACATGCACCGAGCTATGCAGCCACTCACACAGTGCATCAGCAGAGATTAGTGATATGAAGTGGGAGGGTGCAGAGGATCACCACCCCACTGGTCAAGCTCAGAAGACTGGAAGAACAGGCAGGTGAGAGGAGCAGAGAGTCTGAGAGCCTGGTGAGGAAGATGAGCAAGGTGCATGGAGGGGGGATGTGGAGACAGAGACACTGCATGTGGCTGATGGATCACTCCCATTTAGAACACAAAAATAAGGCAGCTTGCCAGAGCAGTTTGGGCCAGTTTCATTAAAACTCTTCATTCATCATACTGAAATGAGGCAGTATTTGTTATTGCACGGGTGCCGTTCTAGCACGAAAGCTATTCCAATACTAAGCAGTAATTCAAGAAAGGCAGAGTAGCAGGTGGGAAAGGAGACTGAAGAAAGGAAGACCAGCATGCATTGGTGTTTGCCCCATTCTCTCCCTCAGCCCTGCACCCAGCAGTACATAGGCATGTGGAAAAGGCCCAGAACCTCCATCATGGTGAAGAGCCAGGAACCCACATTCCACTCTAAAGCCACTCCCATGGGACAAAATAATCAGAATGATCATCATCTGGCTTCTCAGTAGGGAAGTTACGGAGGAGCAGCTGCATTTTCATATGTTGCCTTAATGTGCTCATGGAAGAATAAGTTTTCATAAATGTACAAAAATAATTATAAGTGTGTGTGTGTGTGTGTGTGTGTGTGTGTGTGTGCGCGTGCAGAAAGGTGTTCCTGCCCATCCTTAAGGTGAAATACAACTATGAAAATGGTTAAAATGATAGCACCCTAAAATTTCCCCAGTTATTTTTGTCTTCTTCATCATAAAACTCTTTTGTTTGCTTTTAAATACCTTAATGGGGAAGAGAAAAGACAGAATTAGATTACAATGTAAAAGGTCTGCACTAATAATTGGGTCTAACACTGGTACCGATACTTCCTTATACCCGATTACACAGACGAAGAGAAAAGAAAAAAATAGCTACACAAGAAAGGCCTGACCATTGTTTCTCATGCATCAGTTGCTGCGTCCCTGGCCATGCTACGCCAGTCTTTTCTTGGTACAATACTCACCCTGAGATATTTCTGACAGTCAGATTATGAAAGCTTATGTAGTAATGTTGTAGGTGTTATAAAATGAACAAACTCGCCCACAGCTGTAAAGACATGACTGGCAGTGATGTTCCAAGATGAGGAGTGAACTGCATATATCAAACTTGTCTCCAGCCTTTTGATCGATTCTTTGTTTGCTGCCTGATGATGCCAAGACTGCATCTGGAGCCAAAGCTTCGGTAGTAGCTAACGGATAGCATGCATTGTTAAATTACACACAGAACTGCTGTGGAGGATTGCGACTATAGTAGTTTATTTTCCAGGATTGAGGTTGGCATCTGAATAACACAGAATCCATTTTTCAGCTTGGAATACTGACCAGAAATATGGCATCTCATATGTGATATGAAGAATTATTTAAATTGTGTTCTAATTTTGTTCCTTAACATTAATTCATCTCTCATTTATTTACTTATTCAGCAGCAAGAGTGTTTCTAATGACTGTAGGGCAAGTTGTAGGCAAGGGAGATGCAGAGATGAATAAGATACAATTTCCCTGCCAAAGGTGTGCATTTGAGTTATGTTTACAAATAAGATATCCATAATAAGTGACATTAGAATGATAAAAGGATTCTATGAAGGAGACTAAGTGCTGACAAAATATATTCTCACAGACACACAAATATACACAGTCTGTCAGCTTATGGGTGTTGCAACTATGAATTTGGCTTTAAATACTAACATCAAGAATACAATAGTCTGACCTCATCCATGGGGGATACTTTGTAAGACCCCCCAGTGGATGCTTAAAACCATTGATAGCAGCAACCCTTACATCCACTACGTTTTCTCCTACGCATACCTATCTATGATAAAGTTTAATTTATAAATCAGGCACAGTAAGAAATTAACAACGATAACTAATAATAAAGTAGAACAATTATAACAACATGCTGCAATAAAAGTTATGTGAATGTAGCCTTTCTCTCCAAAATATCTTATTGTACTGTATTGCAGGTAACTGAAACCATAGAAAGCAAAACTGTGGAAAAGGGGACTCTACTGTACTGCATATTATTTTCAACATTAAATTAAAAAAAACCTCCACTGAAAACACAATCTCACTTTAGCCCTGCATTTGACTTTTTTGCTGTTTGACCTTTTCAAACCCTGAAGTCCAACTATCTTACATGAGACTCACCTAAGCTTCCTACCTCCTTTCTGTTCTCTAGGATAAAGCTGTTGATGAATGGCCAAAAAAGGACAAGTTAAGGGGAAAAATTGGAACCAAAGAGCCCAGGTAATTATTAGACTGAATAATTGCCTTCTGCAAAAATGAGTGTTGATTGTACATATAAATTACTAGTTAACAAAAAATATTAATATGTAGGTCCAGAATGAAAATTATAACATTCAAAATAGGTAATTTGGTGAGATGGAAATATGCCCTATAAGTCAAATGTTAAAAAGCAAGGTTATCATTCATTTGATGTCAACTGATTAATTATAAACTCACTGTAGCCTAGAATAGCTCACTAATAGGAAAGCAGTGGCTCCATCATTTTCCTTATCACTGTCAAAAAATAACTAAATTACCATAAAAGAGTGGCGCCTCCATGTGAGGTCTTCCTGGCCCATTATCAAGCTGCCCAACAAAATATATCTACTTGTCCTGCTAGACATAACCTCAACCATTTTTTATTTATTGTGGTTGGGGAGGGTAGAGATGGTATAAATAAATCTATAGAAAAAAACCCAAGCCTTACATTAGCTAATGGTTTAACCTTCTTAGAATTTCCACTGCTGTCTTTAGAGATGTGGATTTTCTATATATCTGAAAAAGTAAACCAAAGAAAAATATATTAAGCTTCCTTTCTTGTCATGCATAAGTAGCTTCCAAGGAAATAGCTAATGCTCAATGAAATGGACAAGAGACACAGTAAGCAAGGTAGGATAGGGCTTAGAGAAACATGCTGAGTTAGCACATTTCAAATTATTAAATTAGATTGCCTTTTGGAGGAATCTATCTGCTACCTTACATGAATTAAAGATTGACTAGTTATAGGACGTAGAAGATAAAAGAGAACTAACATAGTATGCTTTCAGCCTCTGTGATATGCCAGGAACTATGGACATGCTACCTCATTGATTCTTTTATGACATATTTTAAAAGGTAGGTATATTCCATTTAATAGGCAAGAAAATTGAGGCTTAGAAAGTTTTAGTAATTTAATCAAATTTTTGCAGCTAATAAATGATGAAGTTAAAATGAAACCTCTGTCTTACCTACTCCACTCCACAGTTTTCCTCCCTAGAACACATTATTTTAACATTTTAACTGTTTGCCTATATTGGAAGCAGCAGGGAACACTGAAGACACCTGTACAGCCCTGAAGAACAACTCAGTTTATACACTGGGTGCACACACACACACACACACACACACACACACAAATTCACATAAACATGCTCCATCAAAATGCAAGCTGCATAGTCAAAAACACAATGGATTGATTTACTATCAATAGAGATGTGTCAGACTTGCTTTAGAAAATCCTTGTTAAGGGGGATTTTTCATCTCATTTTGGGCCACTTTTATTTTGACTGGCAATCTTATCTCAGCACTTTGGAGTTATTTCTCAATTCAGTACGCTTTACATCATTCTGCAGCGAACAATGAAGACCCATCTTTTAAATAAGATGAACAGCAGTATTTCATGTTACCATAGGTTCAAATCTCAGTGCTGCTACCTTTTATCTCAGTGACCTTGAAAAAGTTACTGAAACTCTATGTCCCAATTTCCTCATTCATAAAATAAGAATAATATTAACATGCTTACCATGAATGGTTAATACACGTAAAATACTTAAAAGGGTGCCTGGTGCCCATTTACTGTGATATAATATTTTGCCTTTATTATACTGATAACATAGATAAAGCATATAGCCCGGGGCCTAGAACTGAACAGGGGCTTAACAGTTCCTATTTTCCTTTCCTCATATGAAAACACATAGTCACTTTCCTTCAGAAAAAAACTGTAGCTGAATTAAGTTCATTCACTGTTCAATGTCCTTTTATTTCTTCCACTCCTCTAACTCTCCAGTATCCCTACCTTAGATTTTTACTACTCTTGGGAAACACGTATAGTGTTATTTACATATGCCCTCACATATCCCGAGAGTCTAATTACTGCCATTCATGGGCTAACCCTGGAACTCTGATGGGTTCATTTTATGATAAAAATAAGAAAATATATCAGTATAAACCCCTGCTTAAATTTCACTGAGTCTGAATTACAGTAAAAAATAAAAAGAAGAAGAAAAAGGTAAAATGACAATCGCTGAGCTGGGAATTATCTTAAATCTTATCCTCTCCCTTTGGCATCTGATGTTTAATAATTATGTGATGGAACAGAACAGACTAGGCTCTGTTTAAATATTTACATTCTAAGAATTTTTTAAATGATGAACATCATTTAAATATATTTCTTTATTTTGAGCTGAAAATGTCCTCTCTTCCATTCATTGGCCCTGGATTTGCCTTCCATGGAAATAGCACCCACGGTTGTTTCTGGTATTTGTAGTAGATGCTGTGGTGATTCTCTAGACCCTCACCTGTAGGAGAAGAACATTCACTCCCCCACTACTGAGTCTCTCACTGAGATATCAATTGAGTCTTCCTTCAAAGTCACAACCTTTCTGGGACAGCCTTTGCCTAATGACAGGTCTGTGCGGGGCCATAAAGTCCTGGCCCCTAGCCCCATGAGTCCTCTGTTATAAGTAAATTGTGGATCAGCAACTCTCTCTGCCCAATCATGCCGCCTTCACTCTCCCACAGGTGTTAAACTCAATATCACTTTGAATGAACTTTGGTCTTTGTCTCAGAGTACGCTTCCTATGGAACTTAATGAGTAATAGTGTATCTACCACTTTAAGTTTAAATTGCACTATTTCCAAGACCTAATACGTTACTCATTTGGTTTTTCACTTATTTATCTGTTCATTCATTCATCCATTTAGTCATTCATTTCTTCATTCAACAAAAGGATTTTGAATAAGGTTAGCATATATGTATATGGTAACATGCTGAGTACCACAGGGACAGAGAATGTCCTTTCCCAACCCTTATCCTGATACAGCTTACTGTCTACCAGGTAGGATTGGGTAAGTATAACAGTACACCAACCATAATACTAGGGAGAAAATAGTGCCAAGACAGAGAGAGAGAGAGAGAGACAGAGAAAGAGAGAAAGAAAGAGAGAAGCAAGCAAATTAAATTCAATAAATAAATAAAACCAAAACAAATTACCATCGAACATCATCACAGGTGATATGGTTTAGCTGTGTCCCTACCCAAATCTCATCCTGAGTTGTAGCTCCCATAATCCCTACGTGTTGTGGGAGGGACATGGCAGAAGATAACTGAATCATGGAGGCGGGTTTTTCCCATGCTGTTCTTGTGATAGTGAGTAAGTCTCATGAGATCTGATTATTTTATAAAGGGCAGATCCCCTGCACACACTTTCTTGCCTGCCACCATGTAAGATGTGCCTTTGCTCCTCTTTCGCCTTCTGCTATGACTGCGAGGCCTGCCCAGCCATGTGGAAGTGCGAGTCCATTAAACCTTTTTTTCTATATAAATGACCCAGTCTCAGGTATTTCTTTGTAGCAGTATGAAAATGGACCGATACAAGAAGGATGTATGTACTCACATGAGTGTGATAACTTCTTAAAGATATAACTTTCTATTGAATCTTTTCTACTAAATCCTATTATTTAGAGTAGTGTTTTTTCCTGCACCCATGCCATTACTTTCCTCCCCACCTGCAGCTCTTTATGGATACCTTTTCTGTATACAACCTTAGACCCTTATCTACCTTCCTAGGCCCTTACGATTTTCAAGTGTTTCAAATTTGATTTTATGCCTGAAGGATATTGACACCTTTCTTTCCCTTAAGCTTCCTACTAATCCACTTTCTCCCTTTGGTACTTCTTTCTATATCATCTGAAGTTTGAAGAGAAATGATATCTCTAATGAAAATCCCATGAGGGAGAAGGTGATAACAAGTCAAGCCTTAAATCTCTGCTCATATCTGCCAGAAAGTTGTAGTAAAATATTGTAGTCTTTCATTGACAGAAGAGTTTAAGATTAAAATCCAATGCTCATAAAATATACCAATTTTAGTAAAACCAACTAACATGACACTAAGTTATATCTGTTGAAAAAAATTCATTAATGCAATGAGTTAGAAGTATAAATTTTAAAATGAATAAATGAATAAAACTAATTCAATAGTCCACTCTAAACAGATTTTAAAGTATGATTAGCAGCATTACAGTTAAAATATAATGCATTTATGTTTGGGCTATAAAGTATTACGTGTAAATCATAGATGTCGATCAGGCAAATGTCATCTATGTCCACTGAGCACAAGATCCCAGGTTTTTTCCTTGATAGCAAGAGAATCTAAAAAAGAAAAGTGTCTAGAAAATGTCCACTGGCAATAATTTTACAAATCCCCCCCCCCCAAAAAATAAACTTGCAAATTCCACTGAACTGGTCACATAAGAAATATAAACATCTGCATAAACCTTTTAAAAGTATAGGTTATATGTTTTTCCTTTTGTTAGATTTTTCTTGGTAAATAAAAATAAAAAGTTTCTAACATTTGACTGAGACGCAGTCATCTTTGTTCTAGTCAATGATGAATCACAGGTATCTAGAACTGTGCCAGGTACCAAGTAGGCACTTGAATTTTGTGGAATGAATGAATAAATTCCATCTTGACATCTGTAGGCATATCCTCTGTCACTTTAAATATATTACTCAACAGAGTAGTATATTTGAAGTATATCCTTAGTCATTTATTCAATATTTAACAAATATCTACTGAGTCATGACTTAATGAAAGGTGGTATCTTGGATGTTAAATTCAGGTTTCACTCAAGGGGAGAAAGGTATTCCTAGTTAAGTATAATATCCATTAACACAATTTGAAACTGGAAGGTAACACTTTAAATCTACTACTCAAAGTTCAAAATCATTAAACTTTTCTCCTGATTATTCCTACACAAGCCATTTTATTTTTTCCTCATATTCTCTGTGGCAATGCTGCTTCCCTGGGATTTTCCTTATGCTTTCTAATTAGGCGTCCAATTGGGTGTCTGAAAACAATCTGAAGTAGGTAACATGCATTTTAAATTACTTTTATCTCAAAGGAGACAATATTTTAACATTCCATTATTACATTATCATCTTGATTATTGAAGTGGCTGTTGTAATAGAGTTGTTTTATATTTTATTTGACCAAATCCAAATTAAAGAAACACAAAGACATAAAATGATGAGATATCCTTAAGGGATAGGGGAGAAAAGATGAAGTAGAGAATAAAATATAATAAAGTACATATTCTTAAATTAATTAAATAATTTGATACCTATTATTATTCTTGCCACACGAAATAATGGAATTAACTGGATAATAGTGAAGATTCCACTGCAAAAAAAAATTCTACTTAAAATTTTGGGTTCATAAGACTAGAGGTAGGTTTTCTTTCTAACAATAATTCTTATTCTGAAATATCAACAACATATGCAATGTAAACCAGTATAAATTTTAATTTTTTTATGGAAAAAAAATTTATTTTTGAATGTGGCCTCTGATTTCATATCTGCACTGTTTTCTTCTTGCTACCTTCCAGTTTCAAATTGTGTTAATGGATATTACACTTAATTAGGAATACCTTTCTCCCCTTGAGTGAAATCTGAATTTAACATCCAAGATATCACCTTTCATTAAGTCATGACTCAGTAGATATTTGTTAAATATTGAATAAATGACTAAGGATCAAGTGCATTGAATTATAACATTAAATATGGGTGGGTTACTACAAAAGGAATAAAAGATATTTTAGTTGATGTAATCAAAATTATAGTACTAAAATAAAGAACATGCATTTGTAACAGTTTGTATGTCTCTCATATTTCATACCATAGTTTAATAGTTACACTCTAGTAGTAAATACTAAGCTATTTTTACTCCTACTTACATATAGCTGTGTCTTCTATGTGTTTGCACATGCAGTTTGCCTGGAATGTCCTTCCCATCTCACCCCCGGCATCTGGCTGCAATTTCTGGTCCTCCTTCAGATCTCAAGTTAGAAGTCACACCTTGAAAAGACTTAGTAGACACACCCACCCTTTTAGGAGGTTTTCCGATAAGGCATCATACTACCCTACTCATATCCCTACAAAAAGACTTGAACGACATAAGGAAATAAACTTTAATTATATGTCTTTCTCTTTCCCTTAAGATTGTGAGTTCCTTGAAAGAAGAATCTGTGTCTTGTGCACCATTGTTCTTCCTTACCTGTAACAGAAACCCTGGCACCAGGTAGGCAAGTCTTTGATAAATATTTCTGGATTGATTAAGTTGTATTTATTCATTAAATGTATGCCAATTTCCTTTGTTTTTGCTACTATCCTAGCATTGCATGTTACTTCCATGAAGCTGATCTATGAAAGCAAAATATTAACATCTTATGGCAGGTAATTTTTGCCTTGATAGCCTGTGATGAGTTACTGACTGCTTGTTAGAAATGTCACTGCCTTGTTCCTGTTAGGCTTACAGCTGACATGTTGAAAAATTTATTCAATGTATAAAAAAGCTCTACAAAGATATTCATTGTATCACTGTTTATAATTGGGAATTGTTTGGATAGTCGAATGAGCTGTGTTACATCCAAACTATGAAACATTATGCAACAATTACGAAGAAGAAGGTAGATCTATGTCTTATAAAATAAATTGATATTCTACTTAAAAAAAAGCAAATGGCTAAAAGATACTTTCAGTACAATACCATATTTAAAAACTGCAGTGTACTTTCTGTGGTTACCATAGAGGTATAGTTATAACAGAGGCATATGGACATATGGAAAATAACCATAGAACTCATATTAAACTCACTTATGTGATCAGTGGCTACATCTAGAAAGGTAGAGAGGGGACCAAGAATAAGGCTTGGAGGTCAAAAGCGACTTCTTTGAAATGTTTTTTTTTTTATGGATAATGTTTTAGTTTTTTAATAAAGAGTTCTTAGTTATAAAATTAATCTTAAACATGTTGATACTTGATACATTTGAAAGATAAAAATATATAACCTATGAACAATTATGTAAAAATATACCGTCCATGTATCAATTTATATAAAGGTAGAATGCTAAAAATGAAAATTTGGCCTATAGTAAACATCTCTAAATCAAAACATTTTCTTTCATAATAAATAAAAGAGAAGGAATTAGCTATATTCTATTAGCTCATAATTGTGTGGATAGTAGGATGAAATAAAAATGACTACATAAGTCAGAAACATAAAAACAGCCATTGATTTAGAATCTGTTGACATGAAGGCCACCCCGGCTCCACCACATCTTGAACTAGATGAGTCATAAACTCCAGAGTATCCATTATGCTAACCTATAAAGTCAAGGTGGAAACTAGAGTAGTGATTCTCAAACCTACAAGTCATGATTCTCTTGGGGGAACACACACAAAAATATTATATTGAAGAATATGCTGTTATATGCTGCTTCATAATAAATTACTGTGCAGATAAATGGTAATATGCAGCACATTTGTTTGTTTCATTTTGTGTTTTAAAGCTTTCTCTTCCAGCAGACTGATGTGAATGGAGGCAGAGAACTTGTTTTAGTCAATGTAGTATCCCTTGCACTTTTCATACTATGTAGCACATTATAGATACTCAATAACTTGTTTTTAATGAATAAATGGCAAAATATCATAGGAGAAAATTTTTAAGATGATTCTGTTTATTAAACTATCTCCCAGTACATGTAGATAATCCCACCATTATTTTATTATAGAAAATCTACAGTCGTTCCAACTTCTAAAATGCAATTAAGAACTCCAGTTATGATAATCTTTAAGGATCATTCTTCTCTAAGATAATATGTCTCTACAGCTTTTACTGCCTTTGAAAATCCTCTCTGTCACATCTCCTGAAGAAAACAGTTTCTTGTCCAGATGAATTACAGTGAAAAAGGAAAAGCATTTATCTGAACATTAAAATCCCTTTCCATTACAACCCTGAATTCTTTAGAATAATTCTTGTTCATTTGGGTAATTTCCGATTACCTTAAACCAGTATACTTGTTATTCTCATAAAGCGGATGTACAATTCTACCTGGTGTAACATGAACTCCGGAACCAGGTTGCTTGGGTTTGAATCCTAAGTCTACCAGGTATAAGCTCTATAACCTTGAACAAGCCACTTAATATTTCCATGTCTCAGGTTCCTGATCTCCAAATAAGTAAAATAAAAATAATTATATCAAACCCTTAATTTAAAGTTTAACTCAGTTAGTACATGTGAAATGCTAAGAACATGGTTTGGCCGGTAGTAGCTGAGAAAATGGACCTGTAGTAACTGCTATGCAAATATTCTTTGAAATAAAAACAAAACGAAATAAATATGCTAATCTTTTTACCAGATTGCATGACTATTCAGTCTTAACAAAGTTGGCTAAGATTAGGCCAACATCATCCAGAAAAATGTCCTCAGTTATAAACAGTAGGGAAATCTTAGAAAGAATGATTGAAGCACACAAAGTAAACAACACAGGAAAATTAGCGATATATGTGTCTGCAGAAAAATGAGAACCAAGGGTTCCTGAGGTAGATGGTTAGGCATTTCATGTGTGTAAAAGATTCCAATTATAAATCTGGAAGACAAGGCACTGGTAGAGTACCTGACCCTAATAAATAAATACTCATTAAAATTTTGCTTAATTTAGTATAAATAAATTTAATTAATTATTCAGTTAACTGGTAAATGAAATAGTTGTTTGACTATAAGCCAAGTCACTTGACATGTCTAGGTTCTGTTTCCTCAACTGTTAAATAAGGAAAATTATCTAGATCAGCATTTCCTTAATTGTGTTCAACTCAAGACTGGGTTCTTAGAGTTGTTAATCAGCTCTTGGAAACAAATCCATGGTTGAATAATTTTAGGAAAACCCATATGCTATCTTTCTCTTGCATTTACAAACAAACTGGTATAGTAGACATTTTAAGATCTTTTATTGTAAGGAAATTTTATTTATCTGACAATTTCCCAAACTTAATTGACCATTGACTCTTTTCCTCTGGTTTCTAGCCTATTGGTATTTCACAGAATTACTGCTATTCTGAACAAAAATTGGAAATAATACTACTCAATGTTTGGTGTGTGGCTCAGTGTCAGTCTGCAAATTATTTACCAGTCTATAACAGAATAAGTACAAAAACTAAGAGCAGGCATTTAAAAACTTTTATAGCAATTTGACACAGTAATTTTATGTTTATTGAATCTAATAATGAAAATCAGGGATTGTATTTTGTAGGTTTTCCCTTCATTGCTTTTTTCCTTATAAATTAATTTTTATTAGTTGTTTTTTTTTTTTTTTTTTTTTTTTTTTGAGATGGAGTCTTGCTCTTTAGCCCAGGCTGCAGTGCGGTGGCATGATCTGGGCTCACTGCAAGCTCCGCCTCCCAGGTTCATGCCATTCTCCTGCCTCAGCCTCCAGAGTAGCTGGGACTACAGGCGCCCACCACCGTGCCTGGCTGATTTTTTTGTATTTTTGGTAAAGACGGGGTTTCGCTGTGTTAGCCAGGATGGTCTCGATCTCCTGACCTCATGATCGGCCCACCTCGGCCTCCCAAAGTGCTGGGATTACAGGCGTGAGCCACAGCGCCTGGCCTTTTATTAGATTTCACTTAGTCTCTTGTACACTGAAAATTTTTTCTGAATGTTCACAGCAGCTTTATTCATAAGAGCAAAAAACAACAAAAAAATTAAAATGGGTTCTTTACCACAGATAGTTTCAGAACACCAATGTCATCTCCAAAAAGATTCACATTATAAATCCTTCCACTAATTCCATGCAGAAGTCCATGAAGATGAAGTTTCCTGGGTTCTACTGCAAACTTTTATCAGAATCTTTAGAATCATAGGGAATCTACATTTTCACAGCACCCAAGTAATTCTGACTATATTTTGAGCATTACACTGTGGCAACCTGATGGGAGAAGCTGTATTTTTATTTATCTTTGTTCCATCAGTAACGAACCCACAGTAAATAAATATGTTTGTAGCATATGTAAATGAGAAAAATCAAGTAACGATATGGAGTCTCTGAGGTCTATGTTCATGGATAGTTTAGAGTTAAACAAAACTGGAAACAAATTACTACCCCCAAAGAATCAAATCCTATACATCACTTGTCAGGAAAAAAAAAATGCCATTCTCCAGACACTTCCACTTACAGCCTACTTCATGTTTTAATTATCTTGAAGTGGGTGGGATTTTTCAGCATGATCCTGCAAAACTGTCAATCATTTCTCTTCTTATCCAAGCATAGCACCATAACAGAAGTTGATCTACTAAACAGCTCCTTAGTACTGCAATTTAATATAAAAATACACTCTCAGTCCATGTCATAGCCAACATTATATTCACTATGTGGACACAAATAATTTGAACACTTTGTTAAAATATACTTTTACTAGTCCTTGCCCAGTAAGGCATCAATCAGTTTAATTTTACTGTGGAATTTTTGTACATGTTTTCATGTTCATATCTATAGAAAGCTAAATGTTTAAAGTCCAGCTTGACATGTTTCTCATATTTTTACTCTGCTAATAAGTCAAAATATGTGTGTGAGACATGAATACCTTAGGATATTGTGTGTCTGTTTGTTGAGATGACCCTAAACTCTGACCCTAAACAGTGGTCCTCCACTTGGACCACACTTTGGAATTGTCTGAAGTACTGAGAAATACAGTGCTTACTTTGGCAGCACATGTACTAAAATTGGAACAATACAGAGAAGATTAGCGTGCCCCCTGAGCAAAGATGATATGCAGACTCATGAAGCATTCCATGTTTTTGAGAAAAAGAAATGCTTTTACATTGTTGGTGGGGATGAAAATTAGTTCAACGATTGTGGAAGACAGTGTGACAATTCCTCAAAGATCTAGAAGCAAAAAATACCATTTGACCCAGCAATCCCATTACTAGGTATATACTCAAAGGAATATAAATCATTCTATTATAAAGATACATGCATGTGTATGCTCATTGCAGCACTATTCACAACAGCCAAGACATGGAATCAACCCACGTGCCCATCAGTGACAGACTGGATAAAAAAAGTGGTATATATAAACCATGGAATACCATGCAGCCATTAAAAGTAACAAGATCATGTCCTTTGCAGGGACATGGATGGAGCTGGAAATTGTTATCCTCAGCAAACTAACACAGGAACAGAAAACCAAACACCGCATGTTCTCACTTACAAGTGGGAGGCGAATGATGAGAACACATGGAACAACATACACTGTGGCCTCTATGGGGGTTGGGGGAAGGGAGAGCATCAGGAAGAATAGCTAATGGATGCTGGGTTAGATACCTAAGTGATGGGTTAATCTGTGCAGCAAACCACCACAGCACACATCTAGAGTTTCTGATTGAATTCATTATTGGAGTGGTCTGAAAGTCAGAATTTTTAAGGCTTCTTAAATAATTCTAATATATATCCTGAGTTGAGAACCATAAATAAAATCAGGTGCAGTTCTTATCAAAAAAAAAAAACTGCAGTAATTATGAGAGATCCCATATCCAAGGTAAATGGGTGGATTTGTATTTGAATTGAATTAGAGAAGGGTCAGCTGTGAACCCACCATGAAAGGGTTTCTTTTCACTTACTGAGAATTAAGAAGACTGATGATGTTCAGTCTTAGGAGAGAAACGTACATCCTTCTCTACACTCCTCACCCGTTTCCTCTGCACACCTTCAGCAATCATTATTTGCTCATCAGACTAAGGTTGTTTATGGGGAAAAAAAAAAAGTTAAGAGACAGATAATAAGGGACCGAAAAAGATGAGAGAGACAGAGTAAGACAGAGTGAGAGAGAATGTCTTCATTAAATTACTAAAACAAAACAAAACATTTATCACTCTTTCAGCTTCAGGCCCTCATCTCTAATACGCTCCTGAACTACTGGGGTCCTGAAGGCATAAAATTCTTTTCTCAGGCTCAGATCCTTTCACCTCTAGATACAGCCAGAAGTCCTGGAGAGAGGAAGGGAAAGGAGTAAGGAAGAAAGAAAGGAAAAGCATTACTTTGGGGGCAAGAGAGATTTGCCTCTTCCCTTTCCTTCCTGCATGTATGGAGGGGCAAGGAAAGACTTACTTGACCTTCAGCCAGATAACGGCTTGTGGCTTTCTCTTACACACCCAGAGGCCACATTCCTTGATTCAATCTACTTTCAGCTGCACAAGCTCTGTGCCTTCATTTCATTAGAAGGGTAGTTTCTACCACAAACAAGTCTTCGTTCCTGGTACTAGGGTTAGGCCTGGTAACGCTTCAAAATCTTAAGAAAAAATTTAAAACCCCGATTTTATATGTAGAGAACCATCTCTTTTGATTAAGAATATTTTACATCATAATGAAATGCAGTCAAAGCTGAGGGGCAATTTGTCCTCTGGGGTATCACTTCTCTGAGTTCAAAAAAATATTCCTGTTTGTTCTAAATCACCTCTAAATTTACTTTGATTTGCAAATTCAATGTACTTTGTATAAACAAACACTGACAATGAATTAACAATACTATATGACCCCTTTCACTGAATGAATATAGATTTTCATGCTCAGATGATATTTGTGTCCCTGTCACATATTTTACTTCAGATCTTAATGAGTAACCTTGAGTCTTAATAACTTTTCCTTTAAGCCAAGCTCTCTTATTTTTCTTTGATATTTTCATCAACTACACACCATCCCCTGTAATAAATGAGAAAAGGAGAGGGTGCCCAGTCACAGTGGTATTCTGTCCAGATAGGAGCACGTTTCTATCCTGTCTACTTCCTACTGGCAAAAGCAATGCATGATAATTTGCTGCCAGTATTACTCAACCTTACCATATAGACAAATTATGTTATCTACGAAATCCACTCTAAGGGAAATTATTGTTCTGTTTCAATCGATTTCTTCATTCCTCACTATCACCAAACCATATTCTCCTTCAGTTGATTTGTATTTAGTATTCACTCAACAAACCTTAATTGAGAACTACCATGTGCCAGGCATCATTGTGTATTTAGGAAATAGTTTAGACTCTTGGTATCAACTCTCAAAGAACTGGACAGCTCACTTGGGTAGAAGAAATAAGAAAACCAAAGATTACAAAAAAGGAAATAGACAGGAAGACTTATTTACTTATTTGACAGACAGCCATAGTCTTTCCATAGGCCTGCAGAGAAAGGTTAGAGCAGCTAATGCATTTTGGCTTGGGAGAGAATAGTAAGAAATAGTCTAGAAAGACTTTAGAAACCAGACAGAGAATAGAACAGGCGTAAAAACTGATCCCAGAGTAACTCCACGTTTAAGGAATACAACAGAATAACAGTATGAACTGTGATTGGTGTGGGGATATTTTTGAAACAATGTAAAGAGAATTTGAGTATAATTATAATCAGAAAGTAAGGGACCAATGTCTTTAAAAATGTATGTAAAAATAAGGCAAGAACTGATGAACCAAGGTCTCAGAAGAGGTAGAACATGGGACTGTCTCCTACTCTACAGGGTCACCACAAGGGCAGGTTCCAGGCATGGATTACATCATAACACTTATACCACTAATCTCTGTTTAGAAGTGAAATCCCATAGCTGATAGCAGCCATTAAAAGGCATGGGTGACATATGATGACAGTAGAGAATATAGAGACAGTGTGTGCAGGTGTGCAGGAAGACTAGATTTGGACATTGGCTGTAAATGACTTAATGGATTCAACCAAAATGTAATGAGCACTTGTACAGAGGCCACGGATGTGTGTCATTCAGATGCCGTTTCTGGAGAACCTGACCGTTTGGAGAGAAGAAGTGACAGAGAGCCCTGGTTGCTGCCCCTTTGGGTCAACTGCACAGTCTTGTCAAGGCCACCCTCCTGCCAAGCTTTTCTCAGTCAATGCCTGGTCCCAGCAGTGCTACCGATTCTGACCCATTCCTATTGGATTTCTGTAACAGGTCACTTTTGCTTTTCCATCAGTCTGGCTGAGATCTTTCTAAGAACTGTGCCGCAGTCTATGACTCTCCCTACAAAATCCTTTCTCCCTTCTCTCCTTTCAGCATTGCAGTCTGAAGCCTTTCCCTGCCTATACCTCCTTTCCCCCCATTTATCCAACACTGGCAGTTCTTACCATAAATCTCTTGTACTTATAATTCTGTCTTGGCATCTGTTTCTGAGATAGCCCAAACTAACTCATGGGATTAGTTTAAGGGCTAAGGATTTTAAAAAACTGACAAAAAAGACAAAGTTTCTACCACCAAAGGTATGAGAATTCATTGTTTTAAAATATAGAACATTAGTGGGTATATCTTGCTTCTGTTTTCAGTTTCTGTAAAGAGAGTGATCCCTTTCTTTTTTTTCTTTTGTTTTGCTTTAATTCATTGCTTTAGTATTGGTATACTCTAGGATACCTAGGGCTGCTTTTCATATCTCTCAATTTGAGTTTATACTGTTTCCCTTACATCTCTGCCAGTATCAGAGTATCATTTTTCCTTACCTTTATGAGCAATCTCATCATTTATAATTTGTCTCTCACAGCTGCCCCTTGGCACTGTAGCAGAAAGTGAGTCATCCTACATCTATGAAATCTAAGATGATTCTGAGATAATTTAGTAAAGATTAACTATCTCACATCTTTCCCCCTCACTCTGTTTTTCATTCTGGCTCCCTGCCCCTGGCTGACAACATGTGCACGTAACTTTACTCATTCTGAACTGCACAGGCTAGAATGTCTCTACACTCACATGCCTTTCATCAAAATCCTACATTGATTTAAAATGCATGAGTCACTTTATTCATATCTTGGGTTTTGTTTGGGAAAATGCTGATGCTAGAAAATGGGAGTCTCATTTCTTCCCCCTCCTTTATTTTCAATGTTCCTCCATAGCCTATGTAGCAATTCTGGTTCACGCTTGGTATGGCCCATGGCTTGCAATGCTCCTTAGTCACAAAGGCCCAATGATTCACAGGTTTGGCAGGATTGCTACTTGATCTGGTATGCTGACCCTTTCCCTAAAGGTCTTAAGGCCCTCCTTCTTTGTGGAAGGAAAAATTGTTCTTCTGGTATATGTGTATGGAAAGGAGTGGAAAGGGAAGAGGATTTAGGGTGAGATTGAGAGGACAGAGGCATCTCACCATGGAAGTATGATAACTCACTGCCTCTCATGGATGATATGATCCATCTCATTTTCTGCTTTTCTGCTTTACCTGGTATAAAGCCTTATAAACCATTCAAAACAATCCATTTTGCAATAAAATGCTGTTGCATTCCAGTATGACTGTCTGTAGCTCAAGTTAAACTCGACCCCACATCAAAAGTGAGTGAAACGAGTCAGCTGCTAAGTCTCAGTGGATGCTCGTAGGTTGTCTTCAGGGCTTGAAAAATGTTGAAGGAAACCACATTTTAAAACAAAGTACATTGTATATCAGTGGACATGCTTCAATAGATGGGAGTGTTGCTGCAGGACTCCTTAGAATGCAAGCACTAAAGCTCTGTAGGTTGGTGCACAGGAGAATCTAGTCTTCTTATATTAATAAATTTTTAAATTCAAGTAGAAACAAAAATATGAAAAGATGTGAAGGAGTTAGGAACAAGCGTTAGGGATAATGAACCTCAGTGGATTTAAGGGCATAATCTGAAATCAGGAGCACTGGGTAAGCTTCCTTACCTCCTTGGAGCCCTTATGGCAGTGATGGCAAAACAGTGAGATAAGATGCTATGGGGTAAAATGCCTGGCTGAACAATACTGCTCTCCTACTTTGGGAGGATGAATTGGCTCTGATCTCACTGTGTCTCTCACTGTCTTCTAAAATTATATTCAAAGTTCATTTTTTGGGAAACATTCCAGACTAATCCTATTAGTCAGGTATGTTTGCATAGGTGTATTAAATTAATAAACATGCACAGAGATATAGATGTAAGGGTAGACATATAGCTTCTTCCATGTGTGCCAGTTAAGCTACTTTCTTCCTAGTGCATGGATAATAGAGGCTTTTTTGTATGTTTGTTCTGCCCTCTGCATTAAGTGGCTAACTCTTATAGGGCAAGGATCATAGCTACACAATCCGTTGTCTCTAGACACCCATCTGAGAAAGGCAGATTATTCTTTTGTACGAATGGTGAACTTTACGGTCAGAAAATCATGGATCTACTTTTATACAAATTTAGTCAGATAATAATCTCTAGGTACCTCAGACTCCCCTGCTGTAAATCAGGATCAGAAATAATTTCTTTGTGGGGGTGGTCTGAGAATTCTGATAATGGAGGGCAAGGGAATGTACAAGGCAAAGGTGGTGTGGAATTTCACAGTGCTGTTTTTTCACTACTCTAGTCTTCCAGTTTGCGAAGAGATTCCATTTTAATCCATTGGCTGTTTATTGAGGACACTTTATTTCTCCATAAGAGCTAACTCTGCCCCCTTGTGCTGAGTAAAATAATTTTTCTATTTTATTCGGTTTAATTTTATTTGCATTTAAGTGTTTATACCTATTTGAAAAATCATATCCAGCTACTCTTTTCAATAAGTCAAGTTATATAAGTGTATTTTCTTTAATAGGTTCCCTGGAGTAATTTTTCCTTTTTTTCATATTTTTTTCCTTTCTTCAATTCATCTGCAACCTTTTATGTTTAAAGTGCAATTCTTCACAAGGTCTCCCTGATGCTATTCATTACAGGCTTTTCTCTGTTGAGTACTGTCACAATTAGTTTTACTGTCCAATCTTTACCATGTCATAAGGAATAACTAAGACTTAAGGGTCAAAAGACCGAAATGAGATAGCAAGAGCTGAGGGCAGCGTTGAAACTTTTTGAAGAGTGTAACAAATGGATCCATCAATTCAAAAAGTGTACTTGGGAGTTTCACAAGGATTGCCTCTTTTTCTGATTGAAGACGTGTTTTCATTGTTCTGATCAATAAGTGATATAGGTCCTTTTTTAAAGAGTTCAGGCATAAATGAATAAAAACATTCTACTAGATTCCATGGGAAACAACTCGTCCTGCAGAGCTAAAAGTCTAATTGCTTAGTTAAATAACAATACAAAAAAACAGGATACAATTAAGAATTACCAATCTAATTGACCAAAAAAATGAGTACTTTTGAACTTCTGAGGATATGTATATTCAAGTGGTCTGAAAAAAGTAGGTGATGAAACTTAAAGTAGGCCTTGAAGGATAAGATATGGTGATGTATTAAAAATAAATTCAGTAGTTCACAGAATTAATGACAGAACTGGAGAACAAGGCTCAAGGTTACGGGAAAAGAAAATGCCCCAAACCACCTTAGAATTGGTTCTGAGCAGGAAAAAAAAAAAGTCTGCTTCCAGAGAGAGAACTTGTACCACTTGCTTCTCAAAGTGTCTTAAGCATAGCCAGTGGCCCTGGGGTATTTTCTTCCCAAAATGTAGGTCTCAAAATGTAGCTTATGCCACAGCTGAAGGGGAAGCTGAGAAAGTCAGTTTCCTCTCCAGTAGTGGAAGTAATCTCTTCACTGAGACATCAAATGTGGTTAGAAGGGGAATGGAAATCTCCAAACGTACACATGGATGGGCAGATATCAGGCGGCCACTGTGAATGACAAACACTTGCTATCAGCAGCCTCTTTTCAGTCAGCATCAGCTCATGAGACTTCAAAAGATTTCACAGGAAGAGTGTATCCATGTTCTCAAACTCTCAACATTTCAGAGCTAGCAGGGACATTAAAACTCCTTCAGCCCAATCTTTTTAATAAGTAAACCAAGTCTCAGAGACATGAGAAGCTATATCCAGGGTCACACAGCTGATTACTGGTGCAGCCATGATTAATGCTCTGGTCTTCTAATCCCTACCCGGTGTAGTGCTTGCGAATCTGTTCTATGGGCAATTATAAGAGAAATGCGCAATTATAAGAGAAATGCTTACTTCTTGGAAGAATGAAAGCAGCATCATATCTTCTCTACACTTGAGAAAGGCTTCCTTTTCTGCCTGTCAGATGCAAAGTTTTAGAAAAGTCAGGACTGCTCTGCAGGCCTTGAAACAAACCCCTATGGGATTATTCTCTTCCACCAGCCCCAGGTCATGCTCCTTGTGCCCCAAGACTCCACCACTGGTTTACATTGTGTTTGACTACGACTGTCGCCCAGGCTGGAGTGCAGTGGTGCGATCTCGGCTCACTGCAAGCTCCGCCTCCCGGATTCACGCCATTCTCCTGCCTCAGCCTCCAGAGTAGCTGGGACTACAGGCGCCCGCCACCGTGCCACGCTAATTTTTTGTATTTTTAGTAGAAACAGGGTTTCACCGTGTTAGCCAGGATGGTCTCGATCTCCTGACCTTGTGATCGCCTGCCTCGGCCTCCCAAAGTGCTGGGATTACAGGCGTGAGCCACGGCGCCCAGCCATATTTTATTCTCTTTTATAAATCTGAGCACTTCCTTTGGGATAGACTCAGTGGCAATGAATTACTGTATTAAAGAAAAGCTCTGTCCTTCACTGACATGTGAATTTGTACATTTCACTTCTCCTTTCTGAGACTTACTTTCCTGATCTGTAATATCAAGGTATATATCTGTCAGTTTTTTAGTTTTGTTTTGTTTGTGTTTGTTTCTTTTAGGATCCAAAGAGACCACCAATGCACTAAATAGGTACATAATAAACGTTCACTGAATGAATGAACAGTGCATGTTTCAAAATATGTATTTATTTGTAGATATAAGAAAATCAAGCTTCTCTCTCACATCCTCATTCTCAGTCATACGCTCTCTCTCTCTCTCTCTCTGTCTCTTTAGCTCGCATTCTCTTTTCTTTTCTCCTTTCCTCACTCTGTTCTTTTGGCCCGCTTTCTATTCTCTCTCTCTCTTTCTCCCCCAATGTCTCCATAGTGCATACATAAATAATATACAGACATCTACAATAGATATGTATGTTGATCAAAAAAGTAGGTACTACTTCTACCCCTTTATCCATAAACATGTTATTAAGGAACATAAACTTTGCAAGTCTCTACCAAGAAGCCACAGCTGTTTATCCTCTTTATCATCCAGTGTTTGGCCTCTGCTTCCAGTTTTGATGTCAGGATAATGTTACCATTCTCACCATTTCTTTGGTTTAGTAGTCTCCCACACAACAAAGTCCTAACCATGTTTGTGAATTGGGTACCCACCTGTGGCCTATTGAGCACTGGTCTTAGCACACTTACACAATATGCATTTTGCCTTTATTCTACAGGAGATATTAATCTTCCTTTCATTTCTTTTACCACATACCCTTTTAAAAAATTTATGTTTTCCACATACACTGGCTTGAATTTTAATTTTGTGTTTTTGGGTCTATGATCCTAAACACTTTATGTCTATGATCCTTTCTGCTTTTCTCAAGCTTTAATGTGCTTGAAACACCTTCTTTCTTAGTGTTCTCCAAATAAATATGCCATCGATGTTATTTATTTAGTTTCCAGATTTCTAATACAGACTTTAATCTCTGCCCACCACTTGTCACTGAAATAACTTCCCAAGTAAGTATGTAGATGGACCAGTTCTTAGTAGAGAAATTTCCATCTGTGTGTAAGTAGTCACATATTTTATCCTGATTGTTTTGCTATCAGATTGTAATTCCTAATATTCTAAAAGTGTTGACCTATAAAAGTTTCAATTGTACATAGTTAAATCCACTGTATCTACTGTGAAAAGAGTACAAGACTTGAAGTCAGGAGCCATGAGCTAATTTCTGCCACTGAGTGATTGTAGGCATTTACTTTTCTTTACCTCTCTAGGCTTCAGTTCCCACAACTTTAGGATGAAGCTTTAAATTAAATGATTTCTCACTTTCCCTCTAGCCTTTAAAAAATCCATATACACCTGTCTTGAAGCTTGTTTAAACCTATCTTTAAAAAAACTTTTAAAACATTTTTTAAAGTGTTCAGAGACAGAACATATAAAATACCTTGGAAAATAGTTCTGGAAGATTTTGCATCAGAGGCTATTTGTAGAAATTTGGAGATAAACTCTGTCTGCCACAGAAGTTAAGAAAAAAAATTGTTTTCACCTCAAGTAACACCTACCTATCAGCTCATTGGGAATGCCTGCATGTTTATGATACCCAACGTGTAGGATAGGCCAAAGTGAACCAATTGTCTCTTACAGCTTTGCTATGAGAACTTTACTACAACTAACAACTCATTACTCAGAGTCATAGGCTCTGAGTCATCCTTGACTTCTGCTCTTTGCTTTCTCCATTCAATCAGCTGCCACATTTCTACCCACTTTCAGTTCCTCACTAATTCTGTACTCCACACCTATCACCCAAATTCAGGCCCCATGAACCGTTAACTAGATTATTTTAATCATCCAACAACTACCATTCCTGCTTCCAAGATCTACCCATTTTTTAGAATTTATTTTTTTAATTTTATTTTTCACTCAAAGCAAAAATGGTCAATATCCATTTTTAATTTAACCTACATAAGTCTATCAGTTAAAATTCCTTAACTATAACTCTGATCACATTAATCTCAAACACAGCCATTAGCTTACTAATGTCTAACAAAGTTTAAAATCCTTTGGTCTATTAAAAATTATTCTGAGATTTAATCCCAACCATCTCCCTTATCTTGTATTCTGCTGGGTCAAATTAATGTTATTCAAGCTCCAAAGTTAATCTTTTCTTAAAACACCCCTTAGCTGTTACAATAAATCTTCTGATCCCTCAAATTAACTCCCTCAAAGAACTCATGACTTTGTAGCAGAAATCATAATTTCTTGTGTACCCATTAGATCACTTTTTATTGAAGGAAAATAGGGAGTATATTTTCTTTCAATATTACAGCCTCCATTATCACTTGGAGAGAGATTATTATATGAGTATAGCATAAACAGATGACTTTCCTCTTTCCTATGGTAAAAAAGAAATTTACTTTCTTTTAGGTAAAAGTAGGGATGAAATTATTTTGATACCTTATATTTTAAATACAAAATTAAAATTAAAAGGTATATCACATTTATATATCTTCTTTTAAAACATCATACAAGTTTCATAAGCCATTTCTTTAGAGAGAAAGATATTATCTTTATTTATTTAATAAAGACATTTCAGTTTCAGAAAATGTGTTTTACTTATTTATTTAATACATGTGTTTCAGCATTTCGCTAAGTAGTGATATTCTCCAAGTTCAATTCCAATCATGACTCATTGGCTTAGCCATCAAAGTTTATCTTTCCTTTTGAACTATGCACAAGATAATGCCTATCCTATCCATCAGTAAAAGTCATGTGAGTTTCTCTACTTTTCAAGTAAGTATACTTTCCAATCCATCAGGTTGAAGAGCAGGATTAAATACATATCAGGAATAAATAACTCCAGTAGTCAAAAAAATAGACTCATCAATCAGCTTCGGAGGTCAAACATTTGACAGGTGCCAATGAGCTTGTTTCAATATCACCTTTCAGAAATAAAGACATTAAAGAAGTTAATCAAGGTATAGTCAAGGAGACTACCAACCTAACTGAGACAAAAGACACTAGTTGGTTCCACTCAAGGTTCAGGACAAGCTCAGAACCAGAATGTACTTTATGATATTGTTAGTTGACCCAAATAACTAAAATTGGTGAAATATTTAACATTTTCATAAAAAGTGGTATTAAAGGTTGTTCTAAGATATCAGAGCAGTATATATATTTACTATTATTATCAATCTAGTCAGGATATCCATTGCCTCTTTAAAAACAACTACAACAGGCAACCCACAAAATGGGAGAAAATTTTTGCAACCTACTCATCTGACAAAGGGCTAATATCCAGAATCTACAATGAACTCAAACAAATTTACAAGAAAAAAAACAAACAACCCCATCAAAAAGTGGGCGAAGGACATGAACAGACACTTCTCAAAAGAAGACATTTATGCAGCCAAAAAACACATGAAAAAATGCTCACCATCACTGGCCATCAGAGAAATGCAAATCAAAACCACAATGAGATATCATCTCACACCAGTTAGAATGGCAATCATTGAAAAGTCAGGAAACAACAGGTGCCAGAGAGGATGTGGAGAAATAGGAACACTTTTACACTGTTGGTGGGACTGTAAACTAGTTCAACCATTGTAGAAATCAGTGTGGTGATTCCTCGGGGATCTAGAACTAGAAATACCATTTGACCCAGCCATCCCATTACTGGGTATATACCCAAAGGACTATAAATCATGCTGCTATAAAGACACATGCACACATATGTTCATTGCGGCACTATTCACAATAGCAAAGACTTGGGACCAAGCCAAATGTCCAACAATGATAGACTGGATTAAGAAAATGTGGCACATATACACCATGGAATACTATGCAGCCATAAAAAATGATGAGTTCATGTCCTTTGTAGGGACATGGATGAAACTGGAAATCATCATTCTCAGTAAACTATCACAAGAACAAAAAACCAAACACCGCATATTCTCACTCATAGGTGGGAACTGAACAATGAGAACACATGGACACAGGAAGGGGAACATCACACTCTGGGGACTGTTGTGGGGTGGGGGGAGAGGGGAGGGATAGCATTGGGAGATATACCTAATGCTAGATGACAAGTTAGTGGGTGCAGCGCACCCGCATGGCACATGTATACATATGTAACTAACCTGCACATTGTGCACATGTACCCTAAAACTTAAAGTATAATAATAAAAAAAAAAGAAAGTTGAAAAATCTTAGCACTCAAAAAAAAAAAAACTACAACATATAAGCAGAAAATTGGACTTTTTTGATATATTTGAGGAACACTTTGAGTCACATTTATTGAAAATGCTCATAGAAACAAATAGATTTTTAGCTGACTATCCTTGACAACACCTCTTTTCATATAACCCCTGGTATTATGAAAAAAGAAAAAATATTTTATTTGCTTTATTTGAAACACATGAAAATCACATAGTCAAAATGAGGTATTATGTATCTGAAAACCCAGATACCTCTCTCTCTGCCGTCTGCTTGAGACAGTCCTCACTACTCACTGCTCTTGCCAATAAACTGGAAGCCAAGGTCGGGAGTTTGACATTCTTATTATGTTCTGACTACAGGATAGACCCTTAATTCAGGCAACTTAATGGCAAATACCTACAAAAAGACTTGATATGGTTTGTATCTGTGTCCACATCCAAATCTCATGTTGAATTACAATCCCCAATGTTGGAGGTGGGGCCTAGTGGAAGGTGATTGGATCATGGGGGCAGTTTACAAAGGATTAGCACCAACCTACTAGTGCTGAACTTATGACAGAGTTCTCACGAGATCTGGCTGTTTAGAAATGTGTAGCTCCTCCCCCTTCTCTCCCTTCCTCCTGGTCTGGCCATGTAAATGTGCCTGCTTCCGCTTCACCTTGTGCTATGATTGAAAGTTTCCTGACACACCTCCAGAAGCCATCATGCTTCCTGTACAGCCTGTGGAAGAGTGAGCCAATTAAATTTGTTTTCTTTATAAATTGCCCAGTCTTCTTTATAGCAGTGAGAGAGTGGACTAATACAAGACACCAAAGAACCACAGGGTATCACTGAAACCTTTTCAAACAAGTGGAAAAAAAAAACACTTAAAGTTTATGCCCAACACAAGTCTTTCACAAAACTTCCAGGTGATGAAAATTAATCTTGTTTGTTTCTTGTATTTATCATCTTCTTGAGGACCAGATTTAATTTCCACAGAATGAAATCTGGGGAAATTAACTCCCCAGATTTTTGCCCCCTCATTAGACATACTTAGCTGAGTCAGCACTCCACTCATATATAAATAGCAAAAACAACACATGACAGATAGCACATTTCTTTCTCTCAGGCTCTTCTTGCCTTCTACAGAAAATCTTTCACTGTCCACTACACTATCAGAAAATAATAAAGGAGGGACTATCTCCCCACTAGGATCCTCCTCCCAACCTCTACTTCATCAGGTAAGGATCTTATTTTCCAACTCAAGGGAGCATATTCCACTGGCCACATTTCAAACCTGGGTGCTAATATTAGGAAACTGAACATTTAGAGCACTGCTTGTGTTACTTTTATAGGGTCAACCTATATTCTTAATAAGCAATATATTGTTGTCTGTCTCAAAGGATAGAGCACTGGGAATAAAGAGCAAGCATCAGTGAATGAACTCAGCAGCCACAAACAAATTACCAGAGATGTGTACCTTCCTGAGAAGCAGAGAATTATAGAGGCAATGTTGCATGATGGGATATGTAAATACAGCCTTGGAAGATCATGTGTGGATGGAAACCAATTAAGTAAAGCACTTAGGAAAATTGCTTTCTACTGTCTGAATAAGAATTTATCATGAGACACAGTTTTTTAAGTGAAAAACGTATATGTAAACCTGGACTAAGTGTTTTGTCCAAGGTGACACAATAAGGCAGGCAATAGAGATAAAAATAGAATGCTTGAAACCAGCCTCCTGATCTAATCACCAAACACTTTGCAAGTTTATCTCTGAAGAGGACCTAATGCAAAGTAGAACCTTTAGAGTGAGAGGTCAGCATAAGGATTGCAGCAGCCAACTGGGCAGCAATAGAAATGGAATTGATTGCTTCCCTAAAAAATGATGAAATGTTATCAATAACTACACAGCAAAAGAAAAAAATGCAGCGATATGCATCATGAAGGAGAAAGCATTTTCTCCACTAAAATAGCTTTTGTTAATCATTACCAGTCATTAAAGAACACAAGGTTTCAGATCTTCCTTAATCCAGGCATTCTGCTTGAAGTTATAAACAAATAATTTCATTATGTCTTTGTCTATTTAAAAAAACATATTTTGGTATGATTTCTCTCACTCATTCAAAGTTTTACAGAGCATCTGCTAAATATCAAGTCCTGTGAAGGGTATATAAAAATGGAGGGGGCATATTTCCACCTTTCAAGGAACTCAGGTTCTGTTGTACATGGATGCTTAGATAATATTTGTGGACACAAAGTGGTAAGTGCTCTAAAAGAAATAAGGTTAAAGTCCTGTGGGAATACAACAGGGGCAGAAAGAAAGCGAGATTAAGAAAGAAAGATATAGAAGTTCCGCAATGGTGGAGTTAAATCAAGCCACGGGAGTTGATGACTTTGCAGGTGGATACAGGGGAATATCATAGAAGAGAATAGAATTCTGGGCAAAAGAAATAATTTAAGCAAAAGCTCTGCTACTTTATTTAGCAGATTTCCCTTTTCAGACATTTATTTCTCACCTCAACCCAAGCTTTATTCCCCATTGGCTGTTTTAAGTTTCTTAATCTTGATGATTTTCAGTTTCCTGTCTTATAGGATGGTGATTTCTAATATTGTTGTCCTGAGGATTAAATGAGATATTCCTTTCAAGGACTTCAATAGAAATAAAACAAACATTAGATGGATTAGGTAATGATTCCCTGAGAAGGATGCATTCAATTAGTTAGTCATTGCAAAACAAGAAATGAGTAAACCAGCTTTAACTAGCAAGAGCTGCAAAGTGGCAGACCCCAAGGAGATGGGAAGCAAGTAGATATATTTTGATGTGAAGAAAAATCGGCAGTGTCACAGTGGAGAATACTTGAGGGGCAACAGAATATCAGATGAGCAAAATACTCAGAAAAAAATCACCTACAACATAGTTCTGACTGGTGGAACACCCCAAGAGACTGTAATTAGGGTATCATCTATTGGCTTAGAAGGAATGCTTCAAAAGTCCATCACATAATCAATATGGACAGGATGGTTAGGGCTACAGGGATGATGATAAGACATGAACTATTTCTTCCTGGGAATATTCCCCCTCACCCCCACTACCTAAAGGTACCCAGAGAAACTTATAAACAATTTATGAATAAGATGGTGGAAGGGGGAATACAAATTAAAAATCACCCGCCAGGTGCAGTGGCTCAAGCCTGTAATCCCAGCACTTTGGGAGGCTGAGGCAGGCGGATCATGAGGTCAGGAGATAGAGACCATCCTGGCTAACACGGTGAAACACCGTCTCTACTAAAAATACAAAAAATTAGCCGGGCTTGGTGGCAGCGCCTGTAGTCCCAGCTACTCGGGAGGCTGAGGCAGGAGAATGGCGTGAACCCGGGAGGCAGAGCTTGCAGTGAGCCGAGATAGCGCCACTACACTCCGGCCTGGGCGAAAGAGCAAGACTCCGTCTCAAAAAAAAAAAAAAAAAAAAAAATCACCACACACTTAGGTGTTATTAAAAATTCATTTTACTGGAAAAGGCATTTTGTTGTTGTTGTTTTTAAGACAGAGTCTCACTCTGTCATCCACACTGGAGTGCAGTGGCATGATCTCGGCTCACTGCAACCTCTGCCTCATGGGTTCAAGCTACTGTCTTTCCTCAACCTCTCGAATGACTGGGATTACAGGCGCATGCCACAATGCCCAGCTAATTTTTTGTATTTTTTAGTAGAGATGGGTTTCACCATGTTGGCTAGGCTGGTCTTGAACTACTGACCTCAAATTATCCATCCACCTCAGCCTCCCAAAGTGCTGGGATTGCAGGCGTGAACCCGGCCTGGAAAAGGCATTTTACGTTGTGAGCAGGTACTCTTCCTAAGAATTACTGTGAGTGTAAGTGTGTTTGTGGTGAGGAGGGGTTGCACAGGATGCATATAAGAAGTATCTAAATGTAACCTGTATTTGTTACTTCAGACTCAATGATATAGTATGAAGAATAATTATGACGGAATCACCCATTGAAAAGTGACACAGATGCCCATGCTGTCTTGGGAAGGAAGAGAAAGTGGGAACAAAAATGATTTCTTACTACATGAATTGCTTTATAAAGAGGAGCCTGGAGAAAATGTGGGAAAAGGTTTTTTTCCAAACGCAATCTTCTCTCTGTATTTTAACCTAGATTAATTTTACACATACAAAAAATGATTCTATTTCTGCATGGTCTTATTATATCTAAATTATTCTGGAAGGTTCAGTGCTCTGAGGCGGGGACAGATTTTGTATTTTTTTTTTTTTTTTTTTGGTTAGTAGCATAGAATAATATTAGTAGCATGGAATAATATTGTCACTTCCACAAAGTGACAGTCATAAAATACTTCCCATATATACACTGTACCTAATATTTAACAAAAACTACATCAACAAAAACCCTAAGACAAATACAAATCTACCTTAATACATTATTGATATGCTTTGGCTATGTCGCCACCCAAATTTCATCTTGAATTGTAGTTCTCATAATCCCAATGTGTCGTGGGAGGGACCTGGTAGGAGGTAATTTAATCATGGGTTTAGTTACCCTCATGCTATTCTCATGATGGTGAGTTGGTTCTCATAAGGACTGATGGTTTTATAAGGGGCTTTTCCCCCTTTTGCTTGGCACTTCTCTTTGTTGCCGCCATGTGAAGAAGGATGCGTTCGCTTCCCCTTCCACCATGATTGTAAGTTTTCTGAGGCCTCCCCAGCTCTGCAGAACTGTGAGTCAATTAAACCCCTTTCCTTTATAAATGGCACATATACATCATGGAATACTATGCAGCCATAAAAATGATGAGTTCATGTCCTTTGCAGGGACATGGATGAAGCTAGAAACCATCATTCTCAGCAAACTATCGCAAGGACAAAAAACCAAACACCGCATGTTCTCACTCATAGGTGGGAATTGAACAATGAGAACACATGGACACAGGAAAGGGAACATCACACACTGGGGCCTGTTGTGGGGTGGGGGGAGGAGGGAGGGATAGCATTAGGAGATATACCTAATGTTAAATGACGAGTTACTGGGTGCAGCACACCAACATGGCACATGTATACATATATAACTAACCTGCACATTGTGCACATGTACCCTAAAACTTAAAGTATAATAAAAAAATAAAAAAATAAAATAAAAATAAAAAATAAATTACCCAGTCTCAGGCATGTCTTTATTAGCAGCATGAGAATGGACTAATACAATTATCTAAACCAAAACCTTAGCATAAGGAAAATTATTACTATCCAAATTTTAAAATTGAATAAGATTAAAGGGAGAGCTTAGCACATGTAGAAAAACAAACTCTTGGAGTGTTAATACGGGGGAGTAGTTAATAGTGAAGAGTGTGACATCACGTAGACTTGAGCTGTCCTTTACATTCTGACTCTTACTAGCTATCTGATCTTGTCAAGTCGCTTAATCTAAGACTGTTTCCTCATCCGTAAAATAAAGATAATATTACAGAACTCAGAGAGTTGATGAAAGGAAACAATTCATAAAAAAGTACTTGGCATATGATAAAGCCCTGATAAATGCTATTTATTATCATTGTCATTTATATTAGATAGCATTTTCAAGTCATAAAGCAAGCACGTGACAGAGCTGGAACTTAAACCAGGACCTTCTGCCTCCACATCCATGGCTCTTTACATTTTCTACGCTAGTACCGATAATTTTCCCAGAAAAAAAAATTGTATCAGCGAAGAGAAACTTCCCTTTATTTATTAATTTATTAAAGTATCACATTAATAGTAAAGGGAGTCTTGAGCCCCATGAAACCTTAGAAAACGTGAGAATGGAGCCTTCATAGACTTTGAGAATAGATCTATATGGTACAGGAAGGAATACTCCCTCTCTCCATGTTCAATGACAAATAAGGTAAATTTGGTAGCATGTGGTGAAGCTTCATGGACCACATCAAGTTCATTTCATTTGTGAATCAACTAAAAGTAAGAGCTGTGTGTTTGCCAGTCCCTTTGCCGATGGCAGTGTGAGCACCTGTCACCACAAGGTCAACAGTGGTGCTCTGACAGTGTCAGCACCCTGTAATATGAGGCATAGGGACTGGCTGGCTCAGAGCACGTCTGCACTGACACTGCAACAGCTTTCTGTATATTTTGCAGGTGACATCAATGCAGTACATGTGATAATCAAACCAATGGATGCTTTCAGTTGAATAAATGAATATTGGGCAAGTACTATGTGAGTGGTCTAAGCCCTATAAATACAGAGGTTGCAAAATGTGAGACTCACTATCTTCATCCCTTTTTCTCTCCCCATGTTAGGCCTCTTAAGTCTGTTTTATCCACACTCCCCCAGCACCCAAATTGTAGGACCAGTTGTCACCTTAGGCAGAAGATAGTAAGCACCGTTAGATCCATATTTTTAATAAAACAACTTTATTGAGAACCATATTCTTGAGTTCTGCAATAGGTCATGCTTACTAAAAGTCTATTCAACAACTATTTGAGTATTTATTCAATGTGTTTCAGATTCCGATGTAGGTAAACAAAACAGGAAAAGAGGTAAAAATGCAATTCCACTTTTAAGCCTATCATCTACTGGGTGGAAAGAGACAATAACATAAGTAAATGCAGAGTATCTTAGTAAAGGAATACCATTAATAAAAAGAAAGGATAATTGGCCGAGCGTGATTGCTCACGCCTGTAATCCCAGCACTTTGGGAGGCCGAGGCGGGCAGATCATGAGGTCAGAAGATCGAGACCATCCTGGATAACATGGTGAAACCCAGTCTCTATTGAAAATACAAAAAATTAGTCAGGCATGGTGGCAGGCACCTGTAGTCCCAGGCAGGAGAATAGCCTGAACCCAGGAGGCAGAGCTCGCAGAGAGCCGAGATCGCGCCACTGCACTCCAGCTTGGGCGACAGAGCGAGACTCCGTCTCAACAAAAAAAGAAAAAAAAAAGACAGGGTAATCGAAAGTGGGTGTCTCCTCAAAGAGTTGTTTGGCAATTTTAAATAAGGGTGATTAGGAGAGGTTTTTCTGAGAAATGTTTTGAAGAATGGAATGAGTAAACCAAGCAGCTATCTAGAGAAGAATGTTCCAAGCAAAGCAAACAAAAAGTGCACAGGAATAAGTGGAAGTATGACTGATAAGTTTAAAAGAGCAGGGAGACAGTCTGGCTGGAGTGCAGTAGGGAAAGGAGAGCAGCAGATAAGGTCAGAGAGCTAACAGAACGGATCACATACAACTTTGTCAGCCATCATCAATATTTTTGTCCTTATTTTTGAATGGAAGCATAATATGAACTTATTAACTGTTTAACAGGATCACTCTGGCCTGCTGCCTATTTTTGTACAATCTGTGAACCGATAATGTGTTCTGTATTTTTAGATGCTTGAAAAAAAATCAAAAGAAGAATATTTTCATGACGTGGAAATCATATGAAATTCAAATTTCTGTATTTCTGAAAAGTTCGATTGGAACAAATCTACGCACATTCATTTACCTGTCTATTGCTGCTTTCATGATAAAATAGCAGAGTTGAGTAGTTGTGACAGAGACTGGACAGCTCCCGAAGCCTAAAATTTTTATACCCTAGCCCGCTACAGATAAGTTTGCTGACCCCTGGACTAGACTATCAAGGGCACATGTGGAAGCAGAGACCAGTTAAAAGGCATCGTAACCATCGAAGCAAGACAGCGATGGTAACTTGGGCCAGGTGGTCAGTGGTTGGGATGGTGAGAAACAGTCAGATGCTGGGTCTGTTTTTTTGAAGATGAAGCTAAGTCTATTTGCAAATACATTGCACCTAGGGTACAGGAAAAATAGAGGGGTTAGGAGGATTCCCAATTGCAACTCATCAGTCCTACTTCCAAGGCTCCAAACTCCAGGGCCACTCATTCCAGTGTATCATAGTTGTTTTATTTTATAAACTATGCTTTCAAGTTGGTCATTGTTCAAGTTCTTATTCGTGCAAACTCTTTTCTATCTCATTCTTCTCTAGGAGAGGGCTCTTGCACTTCCTTGTCAACCTTCCCTCCTGATCAATGTTATGTCTTTAGCTCTTCATTTTACTGTCTTTGTTTACATACCGGAAAGTGGAGAGAAGAGGCAATAGAGCTAAATAAAAGATATTAAAAGAGGGTCCTTGCCCTTTTTCCTACAGGCCAATACTTAGTAAGAAGCAGGGATTCTTTAGAAAATCTGGTGCTGAGCAACTTTTGTATTTTGTCTCTGTAAGAGAGAGATCTCCAGATTCAGAAACAGATCTCTAAAATGGCAAGCTGTTCTTGCAGAACAAATCATCTAAAATGGTGTTTCTATAAAGAAATTAATTAACTTACTTGTATTTTCATACAACATTGTCTTATAGAATACTAAATAAACATGGATTCCTCCTACATTTTTGCCAAAGAGCAGAAACATGAGATTTCACAAAACTTGCTGTAAGAGTTTGCCAGAACTATTTTTTACTGTTAAAATTATATGACTTAATTTATAGTATTTCACTTGTGATCTACAAAGCAACTAAAATATATGTTTGTCATTAGGGCTCTGATTTTTTTTTCTTTTTGTCACAGATTTATTAGACATCATCTTCATCAAAAAATGGTATAAGTGCATCTCTTGCCAGTTAGAATGGAGACTATTAATAAGTCAAGAAACAACAGATGCTGGCGAGGCTGTGGAGATATAGGAACACTTTTACACAGTTGGTGGGAGTGTAAATTAGTTCAACCATTGTGGAAGACATTGTGGAATGTCTTCCTTGAGGAATCGCCAACTGTAATGGAGATTCCTCAAGGATCTAAAACCAGAAATACCATTTGACCCAGCAATCCCATTACTGGGTATATACCCAAAGGATTATAAATCATTCTACTATAAAGACACATGCACACATATGTTTATTGCAGCACTATTTACAATAGCAAAGACTTGGAACCAACCAAATGCCTATCAAGGATAGACCAGATAATGAAAATGTGGCACATACACACCAGGGAATACTATGCAGCCATAAAAAAGAATGAGTTTATGTCCTTTGCAGGGACATGGATGAAGCTGGAAGCCATCAATCTCAGCAAACTAACACAGGAAGAGAAAATCAAATGCTACATGTTCTCATTCATAAGTGGGAGTTGAACAATAAGAACTCATAGACACAGGGAAGGGGAACATCACAAATCAGGGCCTGTCAGGTGGTGGGGGTTAAGGGGAGGCAGAACATTAGGATACATATGCGGGCCTTAAGCTAGATGGAGGGTTGATAGGTGCAGCAAACCACCATGGCACATGTATACCTATGTAACAAACCTGCACGTTCTGTACATGTATCCCAAAACTTAAAGTACAATTAAAAAAAATGGTATAATATAAGTGGGCTGGGCATGGTAGTTCACACCTATAGTCTCAGCATTGTGGGATGCCAAGGTAGGAGGGTGGCTTGAGGCCAGGAGTTGGAGGCTATGATCGTGTCACTGCACTCCATTCTGGGTGACAGAGCAAAACACACTCTCCAAAAAGAAAAAAAGAAAAAAGAAAATGCATAAGTGGATTAAGCTAGTTTTAAGGGTTTTTATTTATTTTTTCTTTTTAGCGTTTTGTGTTTGTGAGTACCCTTGGGGTTTGCTAATATTCAAGACATTTAGGGAAGAAGACCCTACATAAAACATTAAGTCTTGGAGGCAAAATCCAATTCCTTGCATTTTAGGCTGCCTACTTCCTGCTATCCTTGTCTCCTATTTCTGTCCATACAAGGTTAACTTTTTGCATAGAAACAGTCTCTTTGCCAGGTCTTTTGTTCTCTGGAATCAGAGGTCAAGCTCTCTGCTTATAATGTCACAACTACCCCAACTGGCTAAAGACTGTAGTGAATGCCAATTACTACACCTGCAGTTAGAAACCAATTATTTTCTCTTAAAATAATGTGTGTTCTGTAGTCAAAATGAAGAATGCAGCTTAGTAATGGAGGGCAGTCAGACTGAGCAGGAGGTGAAAGAAAAGGGCAGTAGGGTGAGAGAAAGGTTAGGATACAGTATTCATTGAGAGGAATTGTCATAGAACTACAGAATGTTAGAACTAAACAAGATCTTAGAGATCATGATATCAGAAATATAACCTTGGCCCTGACCCAGTCTTTGGAAATAGGATGTACCCCTAGCTGATGATTCAGTAATTCAGATGCCTCAAATAATATCATTTCAATTTTACATATATTCTGCAATGTAATGAAAAAATAATAAAGCTTCATTGAGAAAGTCGGACATATCTACACATGGATGTGAGTCTACCATTTCTAAGCTCTGAATCCTTCAGCAATTTAACTACCTTCTCAGCATCCCAAATCTCATATAGAAAAAATGAGGATGATCATAGCTACCTCGAAGAAATTGTGAATTTTATCCACGATGTAGGTACTAAATAATCACTTAACTAATAGTGCTTTTACCATTTTCTGTGTGTAGTTTTGTTTAAAGTGCCACTCCAACTCATTCCTACTTTTAAAGTTTTCTATAGCTCTATTCTCCAACCACCTTGATCTTTCTTGAAATGCTTAATATACCTTCCTCGACCTGAGGATGACCCAAAGATTCTTGGATATTCTTTATCTTTCCTATGTCACTTGGGAATTTAAAAGTTCTCAAGTGCCCTTCTTCATCTGCCACTATTATTCCCTGCTGACATTTCTTAGAACTGATCTTATATTAGGTCAACTCCATCCTGGCAGTTGTCTTTTGGTGCCTCAGTGTAGAATGAGGTACAAATGTGTGCATGTGTATGCATACACTCTTCAGACACACCACATGCTTACATATCTGATGGGGAAGGGACCCTGGAAGTGGAGTCGAATCCTGGTAAGGATTCTCAGGAAGAGCTAAGTCTATATCCAGAAAGATATACAGTGCCAAGAATCCATACTCCAAGCCTCAGTAAGAAGAAGCTGAAGCATTTTTCTCTTGGCTGGTAATGAGGAAATAACGATTCTTCTCTTTATTTCCCCTTTCCTCTCTGAGGCAAGTGAGGGTGTAGAAAGACAACCAAATAGAGAACACATAGTTTGATTTAATTTTTCTGAGTATAGCACTAAAATCCCTAGGATACTGTTTCTGGGAGAACATCCAAGGTTAGGAATCCTATAGATACATTTATTATGTTCTAGAGTCAGCTTAGAAGGGTAGAAGAGAAGAAATTTTATAGCTGCTCCAACACCTCTAGAAAAATTTAAGATCGTTCCCAAATAAGGCAGAAGAAGTGGAGTTCACTGCCCTTAGATGCTACCTTATAAGTCAGTAATTAACCTAAGGGGAAAGGTAGTTTAAAACATTTTTTCTGCTTCTATGCAAATGCCATGAAAATCCACGTGTCACATTTGCATTTGTCATGGGCTCCAGCATTAATGGCATATTTAAAAGTCATGATGTCACTGCCATTAATCAGGCCCCGTGGTGCCAGGCTTCAGTGTCATCCATTAATCACCAGTGTCTGCAGACACGTGTATTTGGAAAGGCTAAGTTAAGATCTATAAAGCATGATTTACTTTTTTAAGTAGCATGATTGAAGATGTATTGCCAACTTTCTTTGCTTTAGAATCTCTTACTATTGTGTCCTTAGGAAAGGTCTGGCATTTCTAAGCTGGTATTTAAACAGCTATTCTAAAAACAGAATGCAGTTTTGGAGGTCCTGAAAAAACCCATGCTGAATATCTTGCTTCACCATCAAAAGAGTATGGCATTCTGTGCAGGGAGTTTGGTCTTGTTCTCTCTGAGCCACAGCTTCAGGAGTAGAGGGGACTTCACAGGAAGGTGAAGAAGACACACTTGCAAAGGATAGCAATCTTGAGATAGGACACTGGATCAAACTCCAGCAGATTTCTTTCTACTGGGTCCTGCTTCTTATCTGATTTCTGAAAAAAGAAGTTTCTGGGGATTTATTTGTTCATGGGTTGTTATGCAATCCTAAGGTTGAGTGCAATACAGAAGAGTGGCAAGGGAGAATCACTCCAGTGGTTGAGAAGAGGAAATAAAAGAAAAAAATGGAGGGCAGGGAGATGACAGACAAATGTAACAAAACAGAAAACCAAAAAAGGAGGTGATAGATATAATGAGAAAAATAATTGAAAAGTTAATAAAATGAAATTGATTTTATAAAAGAAAAAAAATGAGTAGTAGAGGCGGCAATAGGGAAAGATCTGAAGGAAATCCAGGCAGAACCATGAGAATACTATGTAAAGACTAAGATATCAGTGTGGAGTACTTATTTTCCTCATGGCAACCTTTTCTTAGATTAGTGTGGCCTGTTTACATGTTGTTCTGGATTCAACATCAGACTGTATGCTTTATGCAGACTTATACATGTCTTAGCATAAATAAATAATATCACCAGGCTGGGCATGGACGCTCATGCCTGTAATCCCAGCACATTTGGGGGAATGAGATGGGAGGATTGCTTGAGGCCAGAAATTTGAGACCAGCCTGGGCTACATAGTGAGGTCCCGTTTCAAAAAAAAAAGTTTTTTTGTTTGTTTGTTTTTAATTAGCTGGACTTGGTAATGCATGCCTGTAGTCCTAGTAACTTGGGAGGCTGAGGCAGGAGGATCGGTTGAGCCCAGAAGTTTGAGGCTGCAGTGAGCCATGATGGTACCACTATTCTAGCCTGGGTGACAAAAAGAAACCCTATCTCAATAAATAATAAATAAATAAATAAATAAAATAATATAATCTATTTAGTCAGTCTGACAAGACACTAGAAATGTTACATGTGAATTGCTATGTGATGCAATTCCCTTGTTATGTCAACATGATTAGAAAGGTTCAGCACTTTAATAACTTCTATTGTAAAGTCTTGTAGAAAAATGAAAAAAATAATCCATACAACAATCCTTTAGCTTTCAAACTTGGAGTTACAGTCCCTAGAATAATCATGAAGATTCAGCAGGAATTTGAGCATTATGCTTTATTCAAAGAAATGAAATCAAGTTGTTGTCAATTACAGACATCCACCAGTTTAAGATAATATCCTTTCTTTCTACTGTCTCTTTCCTGAAACTCTAACCATGTGGTCTTTCACATACACTCTATTCATACATCCCAGGAATGCCATGAACGACTTCTCAGTGGAGACTAGTTAGTTGGAAGTTATTATTACTAAAAGATCAATGTGGTGTTTCTCGTGTGTTCATCCTTTCTCAGCCTTAGTTTTTATACATTGGCTTTTGGGACCTGGAGGAATTTTTTTTGTTTGTTATTACCTTGCCTCCATTTACACGGTTCATTTTGCTTCAAATCTCTGCTTAAGAAAGATTTTGCATGAGGAGGAAGTAAAGGAAAAGTACAGATGAATGAGTTCCAACCGCATTTTTTACTGTATATCTCTGTGACTAATGCAACATAGTCCCTGCCTTCAAAGAATTCATACTTTTGGGAAAAGGTTGGAAACAGACTCCTAAACAAGAAAGGGCCATAAATTGTTAAGGTTCTACAATAGAAGCCCATCAAATGAGAAAGCATTATCTCTACTACTGAAATAAAGTAGAACTAAAAGGGAGATTGGTAGGGGAGGGAGGGAAAATTTGGTACAGAGAACTTATATTTGAGATTAATGTTCTAGAGAAAAAAATTTTGGAGGTTTTTGTTTTGCATACCATAATAAAAAATGCTATTATAAGAATCAATTTCTTTCAGAAATATTCTGTCTTAACAGAAATAATTATCAGATACTTTGTACTTGAAATTTCAGCCATTATTAGATAACCAGACATTATAAGACACACAGCAGAGCTCATGTTTCCCTCTGGAGTTTTAAAATATGGGAAAATTTCTATAGGCAAATATTAGGGTCCACCCCAAAATATGCTGAGTTGAAGTAAATAGAAATTAAGCTTGTGACATTTTCCAATATCTTAGCAAAGGGGACACTAAAAGGACAGCACACCGGTAATCTAAATAAATGGGGAACATAAATTACACTAATGTTAAATATTCTTGATTCTAGATAGAAATTATCATTCTGCCTTCCTAGGAAGCAAAGTTTTGTGCATCTCTACAAATTTGAATAGCTGTAAGCATACGTATTTTAAAAAATTCTACAGTCCCAGCCTAGGCAACAGAGTGAGACCCCGTCTCTAACAAAATAAAAAAATTAGCCAGGCGTGGTGGTAGTGCATGCCTGTAGTTCTAGCTACTCCAGAGCCTGAGGCAGGAGAATCATTTGAGCCCAGGAGTTTGAGGCTGTAGTAAGCCTACCATGCCATTGAACTACAGCCTGGGAAACAGAGTAAGACCTGGCCTCAAAATAAATAAATAAATAAATAAATAAATAAATAAATAATAAAAGCCAAGCACAGTGGCTCATGCCTGTAATCCCAGCACTTTGGGAGGCTGAGGCAGGAGAATCTCTTGAGGTCAGGAGTTTGAGACCAGCCTGGCCAACATGGAGAAACCCTGTCTCTACTAAAAATACAAAAATTAACCAGGCGTGGTGGTGCACACCTGTGATTTCAGCTTCTTGGCAGGCTGAGGCAAGAGAATCACTTGAACTGGGAGGCGGAGGTTGTGGTGAGCTGAGATTGCACCACTAGCCTGGGCAACAGAGCAAGACTGTCTGAAAAATAAAATAAATAATAAAATAAAATAATCTAGTCTTTCGCACATATGGAGACTTAAATTCCCTTTTAATTGTGATTAAAGTAGAAAAATGTATAAATAGGTGATATTCCTTTCATTTTTCCCTCTCAATGTTTTCATGTAAAAGACCGTTTTCCTATAATAAAATTAACTTTGGGGTTCAAACTCAACCTTTGTGTTTCAACATCCAAGGGAATGGTAGAAAGCAAGTGTTAATGAGAAGAGCTATAAAGTCTCTTTGGACAACAAAGAATTAGACCCAATTTTTATCAATATTTCCACTACACACACACATTCTTCTCAAAAATCCTTGCTGTTCAATTGTGACCTAGGGGAATGAATATTTCACAAGAGGTTTGATCCCATCCTGCAGGCTGGTTAGTTTTACTCTCAGATGTCTCCAAAGAATCATGTAACAACAGGCTCCTCAACCCATTATTATTTTTTTTGGTCTTTGATCTTTCTGTTTTTGTAAGGATAGCCTTTGTCCTTGGCTCATCATTTTCCCACAGGGACCCAAACTCCAAAAGGCAGAGCAGGCACAGGAAACAGAAGCAGAAGTGGTCCCATTTGGTCCAAAAACTAGAAAAACACTCAGTCTTTAAAATTAGATCCTTTCCTTGACCTCCTATCTTTCTCCTTAATCTGTTTCCCTTATAAGAGGACAATCCCAGTAGAAACATGTCCTGCCTTCTTTTTGCAGCCTTATCCAGTTTCCCCAGGTAGTTAGGTCTTTGGTCTTCCTTACTCCAAGAGCGGTATCTTTGTTATTGCATTCATTCTGCTAGAATAGAAACTATTAAAAAAGAAGATAGCCTTTTTTTTCTTTTTGAGATGGAGTCTCTGTCACCCAGGCTGGAGTGCAGTGGTGCGATCTTGGCTAACTGCAAACTCTGCCTCCCGAGTTCAAGCAATTCTCCTGCCTCAGGCTCCCGAGTGGCTGGGATTACAGGCATGCACAACCATGCCTCACTAATTTTTGTATTTTTAGTGGAGACAGGGTTTCACCATGTTGGCCAGGCTGGTCTCGAACTCCTGACCTTAAATGATCCTCCTGCCTCGACCTCTCAAAGTGCTGGGGTTAGAGGCAGAATGGCTTAATTTATAATGTTGAATGGATGAATAAATAATAACAGTATTTAGTAAAGAATCTGGAGAGAAGTCTATCAACTCAATGGCTTTATTTAATAAAACTATTACAATATTCTAATTAAACATGCACATAGATAATAGCTACTGTAAAAGTACCAAAGTATTGACTAAAAATATAAGTTGGACTCTTGATTTATTTCATGGGACAGTTCAAATAAGAGAAATCCAAAGAGCTATTTTCAATGCTTTTCATAACAATACACAAGATCACATTTCATCTGTGGAATTAGGTGCTGCTATAATCAGGCTCAAAGAGAAGGCAAAAGCATTATACTTTTATGACTGACCAGGAAAACATTCTACCTCCTCCTTCCAAAGAACTAGTGCAAAACAGTATTAGGAAGTGAGGAGATGAAATAGTTTTATAGTAGCACCTGGGAGCGACTTGAGGAACAGTCCAATGTTGTATTTTAGCCATGGATAAAGATGGGGCAAAAAAAAATCCTAAAATGAACCTTATATTTATGACTGCTGACAAAGAATTAGACCAGAGGCATAAAAGAAAAGAAAAAAGGCAACTAATAGGTGGTCGAATTAGAAAAATCTTAGTGTAGAAACCAATCCTAAATTATTAGCAAAAAGATGTCACATGTAGACATACTGTCTCTTAATGTTCCACTTCAGGTAATTCAAGAAAACTTTAGCCTTCCAGGTTTGGTTATGAAAATAGAGCAATCAGTCTGCCCAGACACAGAATAGTAGTGCTTCAGATACACAATATGTTTTTAAAGGTGTGTATGAAGCAAACATTTTACATTAATTCCATTTTATCATTTATCTTCATTAGAATAAGGATGGCATGAAACATATTTGAGGCTTACTTAAAGAGAAAAAATAAACTTTAGAATTGTAATGGTCATCTCGACATTCACACTTTTTTCGTACAACATCTGCCTAGAGCTCTTCTCAGTCTCCTCAGCCAGAAGCTAATCAAACTTCCAACTAATCCACATCATTGGATTGAGACTTCTGCTTCCAGCTATGACAAAATACCTTGTAACAGACCAACACTCCCACTGTGAACAAACATAAAAGCTCCATAAAATACAAAACACATATGAATGGATCAGAAAGCAACCACAGCAGCCAGAATATAATGATCCAAGATTCCAAGAAGGAAAACACATTGAAGTAAATCCTCCACTGCTTTTCCCCTCACAGCATTTGCCAGTTTGTAAGCTGTGCAGGATTGAAAGCAGAAGCAGAAAGTAGGAGCTCAAAACTTTTGACAGGCTTGTGAGACTGGGGAAATGAAAATTGAAGTTCAGGATTAGCAAGGTAGTCAGGATATGAGGGGGCTGAGATGGAAGAAAAAAGGGAACCTCAGACAAGTGAACCCATCTTTATATGCCACTTTTTGTATTTTAAGTTTTCTAAGCAGTAGTAGGCAAGAGACCTAGAGGCCAAAAGAAAGAAAGAAAAAAAAAAGGGCAACTAAGAGAGAACAAAATTAAGCAGAGCCTTCAATAGTCTCCAAGGACTGAGAAGACAAAAATTGGAGTTCAGGGCCAGCTAAGGAAGGATACACAGTCCAGGCTTTTTGTTGAGAACTCTGAAAATCTACAGCCTAGGAATAAGAGCACTCACAAAGACTGAAAATTAGCCTCAGATCACCTCAGTGCCTTACTGGGTCAAGCTGATCAATTCCCAATTCATGTATTCTCAATAGGAGTGATATTGCTTCCAAGGGAGTGAAGATTGGTCCTTGGATAGTAAGAAAAAAAAAACCTGGATGTTTAGTTTGTAGCCCTCCAAAGCTCAACTCTACACAACAGGATCATATTCCTTAATACTTATTTTATTTCACTGGGTTTTCTTGGGTATCACACGAGCAACATTGACAATAAGCTTACAGGAGATAGACAACATATATGCAAGGTAAGTCCTACAAATCTCAGCCAAATAGTTAGCTGTGATGGGGTGACCTTCTTTTGATTGATTGTTAAATCTCAAAGTCATATTACCAGAGGTGGCTTGCATGAACCTAAAACATGGCTACTTTACGGATGTTATTTACGTTTGATCCATGGTGTTTTCACATGTGACTTGGACTTTGAAAATGTAATAAAAATTGCTTATATTTTATAATTATATTCTGTGAAAATTATTCAACCCATCATTAATTATGTCATGTGCTTAAAAGAACAAGTGTTAATAATATCTGAAGGAGGATTTGGCACTACTTAAGTTAAAAATTATTTTTTCATATCACGTAAAAGTTAAGAAAAATTCACTAAAAACAATTTTAAGGAATTATTTTTTCAGTTGTTTTACCTTTGGCAAAAACATTATTTTTAAATGATTTTAATGTGTATTGCTATTATTATTATGTATTTATATAAGTTGCTAATTTTGCATACATAATGCATTGAAAGTTGCTCAGCAAACACAGTTGTAAAGTTAAATGTTAAGAGTTTTTTAGTTGTTAAATTAACATTTAAAAAAATTATTTTATTTTAGGTTCTGGGATACATGTGCAGAACATGCAGGTTTGTTACATACGTAAACATGTGCCACGATGGTTTGCTGCACCTATCAACCCATCACCTAGGCATTAGGCCCCACATGCATTAGCTATTTGTCCTGATTAACATTTGTCTTGTTTTGATTTGTTTTGTTTTGTTTTGTTTTGTTTGAGATGGGGTCTTTTTCTCTTGCCTAGGCTGGAGTTCAGTGGTGCAAACACGGCTCACTGCTGCCTTGACCTCATGGGCTCAAGTGATCCTCCTACCTCAGCCTCCCGAATAGCTGGGACTACTGGTGCATACCAGTAGGCCCAGCTAATTTTAAAATATTTTTTGTAGAGATGAGGTTTCCCTTTGTTACCAAGGCTGGTCTTGAACTTTTGGCCTCAAGCAATCCTCCCACCTCAGCCTCCCAAAATGTTGAGATTACAGGCAAGAGCCACCATACCTGGCCTAAATTAACTTTTAACTTAATTTGTTTATTCAGTCATTCTTAATCATGTATTAAATAAAAAAAGAATAAGCTTTATGCTTACTCTTTTTATGTGTAAAGCACAAATATAGAGACATTCAAAAACAGATATGCAGTCTATCTGGGGCATGAAATTACAATTTCATGGGAAGAATGCTTAGAAACAAAATGTCTGAAAAGTCTGATTAGTAAGGTAATAATTTAAAATGCTTAAGAAACGTGTCCTAATCAGTCTTCCAGAGGAAAGCAAAATTTTCACTGGAGGAAGGTAAAATTTTATCCAGAGCCTCTAAAATTTACCATGGACAATGTCTGGCACCAGGTTAAAAATTACCAGTTGTGAAAAGAATGCAATATTAAAACCACAAAGAAAAAATATATAAATACACTAGAAACAGGCCCATAGATAAAAATAAATATTGGCACTATTAGACATAGGTTTAAAATTACTATGCCAAATATATTCAGAAAATAGGTGACAAGATGGGAAATTTCACTTATGAACTGGAATCTATAGGAAACAATGAAATAGGAATTTTAGAACTAAAAATGTAATAACTGAAATCGTTGACTCAATACATAGTTTAACAGCAGATACAGCAGAATAAGAGATAACAGAAACAGTAGTAATACTTGAAGAGATACTGGCAAAGAATTCTTTATATCAGATCAAATACATCAAGGCACTGATTTAAGAAGCTATACAAACCCCAAGTAGGATAAATACAAAGAAAAGAATACCTGGGTTTTGTTAGTAACACTACCGAAAGTGAAAGAAGTTAGAGGGGGGACAAAATAACACCTTGCATTTACAGGAACAACTATAAGAATAAGAGCTGGAGTTTTGTTTGTTGTGTTTTAACTTTTTATTGACACATAATATTTGTACATATTTATGAGGTACATGTTATTTTTTCACATGCATAGAATGAACAGTGATAAAGTCAGAGTGTTTATGGTACCTTGAACATTTATAATTTTTATGTGCTGGGAGCTCTTTAAGTCCTCTCTTCCATCTATTTTGAAATATATAAAACCTTGTTAATTATAGTCACCCTAATCTGCTATTAATCATTAGAATTTATTCATTCTTACTATATATTTGTACCTGTTAACCAACTTCTCTTCATCCCCTCCACTCACACACCATTCCCAGACTCTAGTAACTATTTTTCTACTCTACCTCCATGAGACCAACTTTTTTTTAGCTCCCACACATGAGTGAGAGAACATGAAATATTTGTATTTTGTGCCTGGCTTATTTCACTGATCATAATGACCTCTAGTTCCATCCATGTTGCTGCAAATGACAAGAATGTATTCTTTTTTATGGCAAAGTAGTATTCCATTGTGTATATATACATAATTGTCTTTATACATTTGTCTATTGATAGACACTGAGGTGTTTCCAAATTATTGAAACAGCTAAAAGAATGGCAGCTGAAGTTTTAACAAAAATAGTGGAAGATGGGTTATGAATGACATCTTCAAATGCTAAAGAAAAAGTAAATTTTGGGGAATTCTACATGTCTCAGTTAAAAGTGTTAACCGTATATTAGAAAAAGTGTAAACTGATACCACAGGAATATTAAAAGTTGTTTTGTAGAGGTTCTTATGCAGACAGGTAACTGTCAACTGAAGGTTTCTATGAGCTCAGTTTATGCAAAGGAAATAAACAAATTCCTATTGTCATCCCTTTCCTTACACACAGATCCAAGCCCATCTTTTTCAGTTCAGAATATAACTATTGTTCTTGACCTGATTCTCATATGCATCCCAACACGTAATTCCTCAAACACCTTAGTAACTTACATACTAACATACAAACACATATACCTGTCATCCAATTTATCTAAATATATTTGATATGGTCTTTCTCTGTGTCTTCACCAAAATCTCATCTTGAATTGTAATGTGAATTGTAATACCCATGTGTTGGGGGAAGGACCTCACGGGAGGTGATTAGATCATGGGGGTGGTCTCCCCATGCTGTTCTCGTGATAGTGAGTTCTCATGAGATCTGATGGTTTTATAAGGGGCTTTTCCCCACTTCCCTCATTCTTCTCCTTCCTGATGCTATGTAAAGAAGGACATGTTTGCTTCCCCTTCCACCATGATTGTAAGTTTTCTGAGGCCTCCCCAACCCTGAAGAACTGTGAGTCAATTAAACCTCTTTCCTTTATAAATTACCCAGTCTCAGGCAGTTCTTTATAACAACAAGATAACAGACTAATATATTATCTTAACATAAATTTTTTATATCTTGTAAAAAACCACAAAAGTAATAACAGTAGAATAATTGTATTGTTGGTGGCACAAAATCTATTACTTCTCTTACACTGACATCTCCTTAAAAAAATAGTAACCTCTTCTCCAGGTCCTTATCTCTCTAATCCAGATTACTACATTGGACTATTATTCTGTGTTGTTTTCTTCATATATCTACTCCTCAGAGGCACCTGAATGAAGATATGACATCACATTATTCATACTTAATTCCTTGCCTTGGGATAAATTCCAAGTTCATTAATATAGCATGAAAGCCCATTTTATCAGCTAAGCCTTGATTAATTCTCCTTTTTTTCCCTTTAGTCTTTGGAGCTACTTTTAGTTACCCTATACTCCACCACATACACACACACACACACACACACACACACACGCACACACACTCCATATCCTGTTCATAATATTCTCTCTAGCAGGACTAGCTTCTCCTGCTTCCTCACAAAGCTAAATCATACGCATCCTTAAAAAAACCCGTTTAGGTGCTATGCTCAAGTGGCCTATTATGAAGTTTTACATTAGGGTATAGTACTTTTCTCCATATTCTCTTTATACACTATATTGAAATTTATAAATAAATTTATGTATACATAACAGTATACATATGTTCCCATTCTACTAGAATATAATCATCTTTAGCTCAAGGGTACTAGAGCCAGTAGGTATCTCAGCAATCAGAAGACTGTAGATCCTCAATATGTGTTAAAATGAGAATAATGTAGCTCCCAAGAAAACATAAGATCTAAAATGTAGGCTCATTGGCCATATTAAATTTAGAATATTCAGTGGCACTTTGAAATTGCCAAAATCTTCTCTGGACCTAGATATCAAATTATTTGTTACATGGGTTATATTCTTCTCTGGTTGAATTCCATGACTGAAAAGATTAGATGGCAAATGCCAGCGTATAGCAAACATCATCTGTTGCCAAATCATAACTGATTCATTTGTAACTATGGGCTTCAAAGAGGAAGGCAGGTGAAGGCTCTCATTCATTTGAAGGCAAGCTCTTTGTGCCTTTTTTTCTTTTAAAATCTGAATTGCTTACCTGTTCCTGTTCCTTACCTGTTCATCCTGTTCCCACATATCTGATTTTACTCTAATTATCTAGAGTGGAAGTCAGCCTTGTTTTAAGATTTGGATTGCCACATAACTCCCAATCCTGCCACTCATTGTCCTGCCCTTATGCAGAACAGCTGTCTTGCTATGAAACAAAAGTTTCGATACTTTCTTTAACACAGCAGTGTCTGATTTGACTTCCTAAGCATCAGTACTGGATCCTGACCTTGAAGTTCAACAAATAGTTCATGGAAGATAAAAAAGGGGTCTATTTCCTGAATAAGTGTATCTTTTCTTGATTAAAACCATTCTCTTGACAAATACTCACTAGACATTGAATAACATAATAAAAATAGTTTCCTATAACAAAATTGTTTAACTTCTTCAGACACAGTGGAGGAAAAAAGAAGACAGATAGAAAATAACTTCCTAGTAAAATTTGATATAACTATGAGGCTACTTTTAAACCTTCAAAAGACTTGGTTACTTTTCCAGATTTGACCTTTCCCAATTTTGGATACACACTGTACAATAATTCCCATGGTGCAATTTAACAACATTGAGTGCCCTCTGAATACCTAGTACTGAAATTGACCTAGGGTTCTGAAATATATTAACCCACTGAAGGTAAGAGAATATAGTTTGAAAGAACTTCATAGTCAGTGTCATGATGGAATTTTACAAATACTAATTTTCCAAATTCAAAAATATGATATTTATTAATTCAATAAATGTTTATTAAGCATAATTTGATCTAGGCTTTGTGCAGGATACAGGGATATAAAAATGAACAAGGTATGTACTTCTCCTCATAGACCTACAGATATAGATAACTAAATAAATAACCAAAAATTATATAAGTGATAAGGAAAAAATACAGTGTTCCAACTACATATAGCAACAACACATAACCTGGCTTAGGGGTTATCTGGAAGGAAGTGTTTCCTAAGAAGGCATGAAGAATAAGAAGGATAATGTAAGTTCAATAGAAAGGACAAGGAGTAAACATCAAAATTATATCTGGCTAAACAGTGGGATCAATTAAGAACCGTGATAAAAATTAGAGTAACTTACAGAAAACTTCTGAAAGAGAAACTTACTCTGACAGGTGTTGATTTAGAAAATCACTTTTTCTCATCTATGCTCAGAGATAGCTTGGATTTTTACCCCAAAAGGAAAGACCGAGCTTTCATAATATGAAAATTATGTTTCTCAGCATTGCTGAAGATAGATTATGTGAGGGGAAATTCCATTATCTCAGCCAACACAAATGTTCAAGAATTCTAGCTATAAAAAAACGCTAATCATTCTAATTACCCAGATGTTGTTCCTTTGGATAAAAAAAAAAAAAAAAAAAGGAGAAGAAGAAAGAGGTCGGGGGTGGCTGAGAGCCCTGATATCACTGCCATACAGTCTCTATGACGGAAAATAACTAGTCCAGGGAAGAATAAAATGGCCTGTCTTACTACCTAAGCTTTGTCCACCGAATGAAATGTTAGCTAATAGAAGTGGCTGTCATCTGCTGTACAGAGTGGAGAGGGAGGTGAGAGGGACATATCACAACTTACATGTGAATCGACACCATTCAGACATGTCTGTCCTGGCTCTCAACCCTCTTTTCAGCCTGGAATGGAAGTTGATGTATATAAATCTTCCCTAATGGATAGGGTTGTCCACAGTTTGCCATGCAATTCTCTGACAAGAGATTCAACATTCTGTCTGACAAGAAAAACAAAATCAGAACTTTCTGCTTATTCACCCTGACTCCCTGTCTCCTGATAATTTTTGCTTCCTCTGCTCCAGTTCCTACCCACAAACCCAATTATGATCAAATCTACCATTCAGTGAGAAAGAAAACATGGTAAAAAATAATCAAATTTTAAAACTTCATTTGTCCCTTTCTGGATTACCCAGGGATTTGTGTAAATTATGCCTGATGACCTGTAACAGTATTTTTAATTTTCTAAAGCCACGTGACACTTTCTTCAAACAAAACGTTTTGAGCAAGTCCCTGTATAAAACAGATGAAGTAATGCTGCTTTGGTTCAGCTCTAGCTGAACCTTCTCTAGGGACTTCTCTAGTCCCTTCTCTAGGGATTCTAAAGTCTAGGCAGTTTCATCACCCTGAGCTAGGCGCCAGGGAGCCACAGTCCTATAAAGAACCCATCTCAGATCCATGAGGACTGTCCCACCTGTGTCTCTTATTCTTGCTTGCTTCAGTCACCACTGTTAGCAGTGGACCTTACTGGATATTTGTTTTCACCCAGACTCATCTCCAAATTTTCCAGTTCATCTCCCATTCAGACCCAATCTTTATCCTCTCCTCACTTCCTCAAGCTGCTTTCTACTGTTCATTTCTCAGAACATTTCCTTTACTTCCTTATCTTAGCTGAAACCTACTTTTCCTCTGAGAACAAAATTTTTCTATAACCTCAAGCAGTGATTGTGTTCTCTCTTCTATACCTCATTACCTCAAGGCCAGAAAGTGAGGCTAGTGTCCTCCTTGCTTGCCCTTGTGGCTTCTAGACTATCGCCTCCTTGTCCCTCATAAAAACCACTACTCCTTTAAGATGTCCACCATCTTGATAAATCATGGTCTTACCTTACTGGCTACAGTTACCTCCCTATCTCCTTGTCACTTCCTTTATTTCATGAAAAACGTTACCACATAACTCCTCTCCACCACAACTGTTGCCATTATTCATAGTGAATTCAACATCCACATTAACGAATCATTCAACCTGCTTCTCCTTTCCTTCAAGGCTCCATTTTCTCCACATCCTCTCACCAATTCAAGTACATTGTCAAGGGCACACTCCAGACCTTGTACTTATGAGAAACTCAGTTTTAAACATTCTAATATTTAATTACTACTTCTAATCCCTCCTTCCCCCACCCCCATTTGCTCTGATACTCATATTGCCACAATTCTTTCATTTCCTACATATACCATTTATCCTCCTCTGTCTCCTTTTTTGCTTATCTGTCATTGTTTACATTCTCTTTGCAAATGCTCTCACCTCCCTCTATTAGAGTCACTTGGCAAAACTCCACCTCTGAGTGTATTACATATACCATTAACCTTTCCTGTACTTGTGCCTAAACAGCTAAACATCGCTGCTAAAAATTTCCGCAAAAATCACACCTTTAATCCTCTAACTCATTTTAATTGCATAATCATAAACCTTAAATAATAACTCAATAATGTCCAGCAATCCCACCCTAGTGTGCTAGAAAATTCAGTTTTATTCATCAAGAAAATTTTCATACTTTTCACTCTCTCCTCAAAGTCCCTACAATCCCCTTTTCATTTACAGTCAGCTGAAGACGTTACCTCAGATTTTGTTAGGAAAGACAAGGGCAAGTCACCAACATGGACTCTCTTCATTTTCTTATCACTGGATCTGTTTGTAAACCCACCAGTGTCCACACCCCCCTTCCTCCTGCTACAACAAAAGTAGCCCTCATGCCATCAAAGCCCAGTTCCACATAGTTTCTGTAGGTTCTATTCATTCTCACCATCTCAAAGACACTAATTATTCAGTTGTTCTTCTTCCTCCAACCTGAATCCCAGCATTTCAGTCACAAACTCTGAAAAGATCTATATACATATGTTTCCTCCAGTTCCTTCCTGCACTTCTCAACCTATTATAGTAAAAATAGGTTATAAATCAAAGTACAGGGTATTATATCTTCTTTAAAAAGAATGTATCCATATGTATACATAAATTGAAAGGGTAGACATCAGAAAAGATCTAGTTCCTTCCAAGGGATGGGATTACACCTACTTATTTTCTTAATGCTTAAAGAAATCTTAGCGGGGCGTGGTGGCTCACGCCTGTAATCTCAACACTTTGGGAGGCCGAGGAGGGCAGATTGCCTGAGCTCAGGAGTTCTCAACCAGCCTGGGCAACACGGTGAAACCCTGTCTCTACTAAAATACAAAAAAAATTAGCCGGGGATAGCAGCGTGCATCTGTAGTCCCAGCTACTCAGGAGGCTGAGGCAGAAGAATCGCTTAAACCCTGGAGGCGGAGGTTGCAGTGAGCCGAGATCATGCCACTGAACTTCAGCCTGGGTGACAGAGTGAGACTCCATCTCAAAAAAAAAAAAAGAAAGAAAGAAATCTCCTACGTTTGTGCACACAGTCTCCCATAACCACATATTTATAATAATAAAGATAGGGTATTAGCTAGAATTCTGATTTGCAAAGCAATTTCCTGCATATTTTGTGAATGCATGTCATGTCACTAATAACCAAGTGATCTTGGAACAGAGGCAACCGCAAAAAGATTCAGGACTACCCACCCTCACAATTCTAGCAAGACTTATTGCTAACACTTTATTTAGCTATTCCATATTCGATTTCAGTGATCTGCTATCCATATGCTCGCTGCCATGACTGCCATCCTTCTTTGGAAGTAATCTCTTAGAAAGCCTCAGCCCTCAGGCTAGATTTTTGATGCCCTGGTAGGCAGCTTTAAAGAGTGTGTAAATGAATAATACTCTTTGAGAATAGTGAATAGCACAAGAGAAACAAGCCAATTACATTATTGAAATATTAAAGAGAATAAAATTTTGTGATAATAGGAACAAAATACAGGTAAGAAAGAGTGTATTCTTTGGAGGAAGTAGGGAGATAGAGGCACAAAAAAAACATGAAGGTTTTCTTTTAATTTCTTGGGTCATTGGTGAAGAGAGGGTAGTGGGGACATTTTCTTGCACTAAATTTATGGCTGAAGCTGTTTGTAGCTCACAGATGATGACTCCTTCAAATGTTTCTTTCGCTATTTCTCATTCTTTAACACTTTTATTTCTCCACACAGGAATGGCAAGGTGCTATCATTCTTTAATTTGGGTGCCTCTCTGGGATGCCTTCGCTTCCTTCCCCACTCTGATTTTAATGCTTCCATGATTGGCCATTTCAGGCAGAAAACATGTTGTGAGATTTTTCACATCATAGCTCTATTAAATCAATCCTATTTGAACTCTTCCTTCTCATCACTTCACTGAAAATAACCTCCTGAGGATTGGAGGGTTTGAAAAGGGCAAGAAGCTTTAGCTATTGCTTGAAGAAAACTTTGTGTATAAAGGAAATATCACACAGAACTACTTGCATTCACATATCATGTTTACATGTCCATTTAGGGCTGCTTTCAGAGGTCATCTGTCATAATGGCTGAACGGGGAACTGGCTGTAATGGAAAATAAGCTGAAATATACTTTATAGGACAAGGAGAAGAAGATGCTACCCATGGTTAATGATAACAGCAATACAAATACAAAACTACGTCTGAATGCCACTAAACTGTTTAGGATTCAAAGAAGCAGATATAAGAATTCCTACAAATATTTATCACAGGATATCTACTTTCCAACTAAAGGAATTAATTCTTCCTTTTTTCCCTACTCCTACCCTAACCTTACATATAAAAATTAAAAAAAATTAATGCCAACACATTTAAATGATTGGAATAGCAGCTTCCCAGAGTTACCTACTACAGACAGCCCTCCATTTTCATGGGCAAGATCCCCTTATCCAATGAATGCAAACTTTGCTCAACAATTGAGACTCCTACACACATCACCTGACAATAATATCAATAATACTATGCAATTGTAATGCATGTTTATGGCCTACTGTTTTCAATAATGACAAGAATAAAATTTTTGTCACTGTTCCAATCTCTCTATCAAAATCTACTACTGCAGTATGTGAAAAGTTTTGTAACATTTTTCTCAGCCATACAGGATGGTCTGAAACTCTAAGTTTTTTGTTATTTATTTATTTTTTTCCTTTGAGACAAGGTGTCACTCTTCCACCCAGGCTGGAGTGCAGTGACATGATCAAATCATAGCTCCTTGCAACTATGAACTCCTGGGCTCAAGTGATCCTCCCACCTCAGCCTTCTGAGAAGCTGGAACTACAGGTGCCCACCACCATGCCCAGCTAATTTTTTAATTTTTTGTAAAGGCAGAGTTTTGCTTTGTTGCAAAGGCTAGTCTCAAACTCCTGACCTCAAGTGATCCTCTCACCCTGACCTCCCAAAGCACTGGAATTACAGACATGAGCCAAAACACTAAGTTTTTAAGGAAAATTAATACTCCCAGGTCAATGCTACAGCTTTGAGCCTCATTCTGAGCCTAGGGTCTTCTCCGTCATTTATTTCTTTATTTCGTATCATTATATCCCCCCATTCTCTTTCCTTTTATGATTATTTTCAACACCCTATCAGACTAGAGTCCCTAAAGTAACCCAATGCAATTATTTGTGTTTCATAGTTAATATGTTCCATAATGTGCATGAATACACTATCCCAAATCATCTCCATAATTATATGAGGCAGACAGTCCTTGAATGAACCTGGTTTTCCAGACTACAAAATCCAGAGAAGAAACGAGTCCAAGGATGTGGATGCAACATGTTGCACACCAGCATTATGACCCATTATGCCCATCTCTAACTGTGTGCGCTGTTCCTGACCAAGTCACCATGACTATGCACACACTACCCTATGTCAGTTACTAAAACCAGTGTGTTAAGACCTCCACATGTAAATCAACAATCTAGTCATTAGAAGAGGAAGACTTAAAGTGAAGAAAAAAGTGCATCTTGAGTTTAGTATATAAGTCTGAAATGTATGGGCATGAACATTGAAAAGCAAACTTAGATATTAAATAAATAGCACTTTAAAAGTGTTCTAAATGATGAGAACACATGGACACGAAGAAGGGAACAACACGCACTAGGGCCTTTCAGAAGGTGGAGGGCGGGAGGAGGGAGAAGATCAGGGAAAATAACTAACGTGTATTAGGCTTAATACCTCAGTGATGAAATAATGTGTACAACAAACCCCCATGACACAAGCTTACCTATGTAACAAACCTGCACTTGTACTCCTGAACTTAAAATAAAAGTTAAAGAAAGTGTTTAAAGATGTCCCAATATAGACCATAGTATTAATTTTTCTTCAAATTGCACTTTACTCCTACCAGAATTCATAAAATGAAATAACTAGTATTTAGCTTTGAAAGTTGAATGCCATATTAAATAATACATTTAACTTAAAAAATGAAATATGCATATTAATCTCCAAGTCCAGAACACTTACGTATGTGACTAAGAATTTAATACTTCTCTTGGAAACTTTACATGGGACTTTATATATACCACTGGACACAGTTACAACAACTGTAGGAAAGACCTGTGTCTAGGGTCCCTACCTGACAAACGTAACACTATTTTATCAGCAGACATTCTGAGTAAAGTAGGAGGAGTGAGTGCTTGGAAGGCACCTCGTAAATTCAGGAGACATCCACAGGTGTAATGGTGTCAGAACAACTACTATCATTTCCAATTTTTATAAGGACTGGCCTTTCATTTTTATTATATACTTGGGAGTTGGGAGCTCATACAGAAACATAATATTCAAGGTATTTTCAGGTCATTTTTAGTGGACACATATGACTTAGCAGAAAGAAAATTAGACTTGATGGCAGAAGACCCTTTGTTCTAGTTTTGGCTTTGACTCTAAACAATTTCTTGTCTGTGAAACTAGGGGACTGTTCTTTCCAGCTCCTGTAGCTTTTGTGATTTAAGTGATATACTTGTTAGTTCTTTTTTTAAGACTCCTTTAAAGCCAACAGAATCTGGGGTAAGTGTGGCAGCAATGTGGGAGGGGCCCATGGGAGAGCATGTTTTAATTAAAGAATCAGGAGGAGAAAGAGACAAAACAAAACTGGACCACTTCCAAATACTAAATAAGAGAGGTTTGCCACACTCCAGTTCTGTTTATTGTTTATAGCTTTCAGATCCACAATCAGTCCAACATAGACTAGCAGATAAAAAATCTTTCTACTTATAATCCTTGGTTCTACTGAGTTATTTTTTACTATGGTAAGTGCCTAAAACCAGTAAACACGGACTATATTCAATGTAATAACAGAGAAATTGAAATATTATTGTATTACTCAAATGAAATGACATGTTCAATTAATTTAATCAAAATAAAGTTGTTTATTTACACCACTATCTAGCATGTTATTTTAAAATTATTTATTCATGAGGCACATAAAACAAAGCAAGAATAAATATATTGCTGTTACACAAAGAACTCTCAAGAGATATGAGAAACTGGCCTGGAAAATATTTGCCAAAGCTCTTCAAACTTCAGGACAGGGTGTCTAATTTCCAAACACTGTAAACATCCTCAAATAACAATCATCTAGAATACTGTCTTTTTTAAGAAGACATGTAATGTTTACCTATATAACAAACCTGCACATCCTGCACATGTACCCAGAACTTAAAATAAAAGTTGAAGAAAAATAAAAATATAAAAAAAGTAGATGTGTAATCTTGGATTATTTTTCTTTCACATGCTATAATGAATGAAGGCAATATTGTTTATTTTTAAATTCCAGTTCTAAAGCTGATCACTTCTATTCAAAAAGACAAATAAATTAACCATCCATAAGAATGGAGATATGGTCATAGTCCTCCAGACAATGGTAAGTTGGGTGAATGTTGTGGTCTATAAAGTACAAGAAATCAGACTTTTTGCTAAGACCAGTTTGCTGGAAAACTCAGAAGGGAGACTGTAGGGCAGCACTGTCCAAAATAAATACAATGTGAGATATACGTAATTTTAAACTTTCTAGCAGCCTCATTAAAAAAATTACAAAGAAATATGATTAACTTTAATAGTATATTTTCTTAGATAAAATACATCAAAAATATTACCACTTCAACATATAATCAATATAAAATTATTAACGCAATATTTTACATTATTTTTTCATAAGTCTTTGAAATCTAGTATATGGTTTACACATAGAGCACACCTCAGTTTGGTAATGCTAAATTTTAATTAGAAATATTTGATGTGTATTTATATTTCATAAAATTTAGAGCTGGGAACGTAAATTCACATACCTAAATTGTTTTGAGCGTACTTTAAAAGTTTTCCAATAACTGAATCAAGTTTTAAAAATTTAAGTTAATTAAAATTGAATAAAATTAAAAATTCAATTCCTCAAGTCCCAGTAGCTACATTTTAATTATTCAATAGCCACATGTGGTGGGTGGCTACAGTATTAAACAGTGCAGCTGTAGGGGAAGGAAGGAGAGGGTGGTCATGCCCAGGAGTCGTGCTGATGAAGATCCTAAAGAATTTCGATAATTTAATAACACTATGAGGATTATTAAATCCTTCATAAATAAGACTTATTTATGAAATATATTTATGAAATATAACATTCTATATGAGTTTTTAGTTTTGCTTGTTTTAGTTTCCCGAGGCTGCTGTAACAAATTACCACAAACCTGGTGGTTTAAAACAATAGAAATGTATCATCTTACAGTTCTGGAAGCTAGGAGTCCAGATCCAGCAAGGCCACCCTCCCTGGGGACTTACAGGAGAATGCTTCCCTTATCTTTTTCAGTTCCTGGTGGCTGCCCTAGTATTCCTAGGTTTGTGGCTGCACCACTCCAATCTCCGCCTCTGTCTTCACATTGTTTTCTCCTCCTGTGTCTATATTACCACCTGTTGCCTCTCTCTTATAAGGGCACTTATAAAATAGATACTGGCACTTGTGAAGGCATGCAGGATTTACTGGATTAATCCAAGGTAATCTCCTCATTTCAAGATCTGTAACTTAATTACATCCAAAAAGACTCCTTTTCTGTATAAGGTAACATGAACAAATTCCAGGGATTAGCACTTGATATCTTTGGGTATCTTTTGTTCCACAAATTATTCATAAGGTCTGTGAAATCCTATTTTTTCTGTATCTGTATCATGAAAGCTCACGGTTTGGCAGAGGGGTCTCTTTCTACCTGAACAACAAATGCATTTGAATATAAACAAATCCAGGTTCACTAACATCTGCATTCCTACTCTGAAGGGCAGTGACAGAGCAGCCAGAGGGATCCTGAGCCAGCAGAGCACTGATAAGTTGCAAGAGGCCTAATGGGAACAATCAAAGAGACATGAGTTGATTAACACAATCTTGATTAGCACATAAACACTTCCATTAAAACACACACACACACAATCTATGGCTTCCTTGCAAGTGACTTGTTGGCAGAACCCTCAATTTTAAATTATAATCCAATCTGAGGTGATACAGCTGCCACTGCCCAGTGTAGAATGGTCTAGAGCACAGAATTTTCCAAAATGAAAATTATAAACTATAGAAATGAGCAGTCATGAAGAAACATAGATGCTCTTAAAAAGAAGAGGTGAGCAAATGGTTTATGCACGCAATTGCACAATTTCCAGTACTCCAGAAATATAGCGATGATGGTCTGCATGTATGTTAATATTATAATTTAAAAGATACTGACTATAAGAAAAGAGAAATATTTTAAAAACTTTTAAGAGAGGTGAAATTTGAATGTAAACAAAGCTCTGGAGAAAATAATAAATAGAGGAGTCTCTTCACATGGTGCCTTTCTCACTGCCAAAGTTGATGGATAGGACTAGGGGTTCAGAAGAATTCTTAGTGAAGCTGAGAAGTCAGTCATCTCCTGTCTCTATGAATGATAGCTCTTGATTTATGAGCAGACATCTAAAGGTAAGTAAGAAGAGCACAGACTCCAAATAACAGCATATTAACAGCTCTATTTAAAAGAAAAAGGAAAAAAAAGAAAAGCAGCACTTATGACTTTATTATGGAAATTAAGCATTTAATAGATATCTATATAATCCTTTTTTGAATTGATAAGGAAAAACATCCTCAGAGGGAAAATAAATTTTGGTTTCTTTTTCTTTCCCTGAAGGATGGAACTTTTAACAATAGCCTGTAACAGTTTAACAAGGGCTTCCTCACTTTTCAGTTAAATCTGAATTGGGTCATTATTCCTTAATTGCAAAGCAAGAAAAACCTGTTCAAAGTGTTAAACTAGGTAACAGACAAACACATTAGTTTTCAGCTTTTTTTTAAACTTTCTAGAATGCTTTGGTATTATCTATCTCATGAAGACAAAACACAGGGTCTACTTAAAAAAAAAAACCACAAAACAAAAAACAACAGAAAGTTTTCCTCAAGTCAATATATAATAGGAAACATATAATGGACACAAGCTTGCTATGAGATTTCATAGTCTGTGGAAAAGCCATTTCCCCACAATGGTTAAGGTTATTAAAGCACACATCAGGGCTTCTGGTAGTCACCTAATCTTTTAGAGCCTTGAGTCACTGATGAAAACAATTTCATTCTCAGAACAGTTTTCTTTTTTCTTCCTCGTCTCACCCTCCACCTCTATGCCTGTTGCAGCATATCCTTTTCTGATTTCAGAGAAAGCTCACAATAAGATTGCAAACAAGTGTTGGTAATTGGACTATTACAGGCTTCCATGGATAATCTGGGTAATTCTCAGCATTGTCACCAAATGTCACTGCAGTCTGTAAGGAAGCTGAAAGTAAGGCAAGCCCTTACATGGATTTTGAGATGGTTTCTATTTTGAAAGGCAGCCAACCACCACCACAATTGGCCCTAATTGTTTCTCTTGTTGGCAGTCTCAGGAGAGAGGACAGGGATGAATGAGTGAGGGAGGCTTAAAGTGTTTCTCATTAGGAGCTCGTCCTGTGTGGGTCAAGGCTGAAGCACCCAGGAAAATGGTGCATACAGCAGGGATCCTTACGGCTCTACCTTACTTATGGGTAAAAGAGATGCCAGTCTAGGACTTCCATTTAACATCCTCACTGCAATAATCTGAATTGATTAAATGAGAAGAATAACAAAGAGGACAGGATGAGTGGTATTGGAAATGAGGGGAAGCTATTTTGGGTTAGGAGAACTGGGAGAAATAACTGGCCACTAAAACTCAGGAATTCAGAGAGGTTTTTCCTCTAACTTGAAATGTGGGATCTAAGGTTTCATCACCTCTAAGCTCTTGTGAATTTGTGGGGATATTTTCTTCCTTTCCTTCTTTTTCCCCATTATGAAAATGACATTCACTAATGAGGAAGAGATGTTCAATTTCATTTCAAAATTATATTTGAAGAAAACTACATAAAACTAATATAAGCCACTTAAACATAAAAATCACATATTTATTTTCTATTTTAGATTTTTAAAAAATGAACTTCTAATTTCTAAAGAGTTTAATATTTACCCAAACATTGCAAAGATAGTAGAGTTCACATGTGCCCAATTCCTCCCACTGTTAACATTTTGCATTAGTAAGGCACATTTTGTCACAATTAATCAATATTGGTCTAATCCATATTTTAATTAGATTTCCTAAGTTTTTCCCTCATGTCATTTTTCTGTTCCAGGATCTTACCTAGAATACCACATTACATTTATTTATGTCTCCTTAGGCTCTTTGTGCTGTAACAGTTTCTCGGACTTTGTTTCTGATGACCTTGACAATCTTAAGGAACACAGGTCAGGTATTTTATGGAATGCCCTTCAATGTGGGTTTCTTTGATGTATTTTCTTATGGTTAAACAGAGGTTATTTGGGAGAGTTTCTGAGTTTGGGGGTGGGGAAACCACAGAGGTAAGGTGCCATTGTCATCATATCAAGAGTACATATTATCAACATGACCCATGACTCGATGACCTTCATCACCTGGCTGACGTAGTGTTTGTCAGGTTTCTCCACTGTGAAGTAGCTGTTTTTCCCTCTTTCCATACTGCAATCTTTGAAAGAATGTCACAATATGCAGCCATATTTAAAAGGTAGGGAATTATGCTCTACCTTCTTGAGAGGGAAATATTCGTATAAATAATTTGTAATTCTTCTGCATGGGAGATTTGCGATTTGGTTCTTCTCTCCTATTTAATTATTTATTTATTTAATCATTTATTTATATCAGTATGAATTCACAGATACTTATTTTATTCTCTGGGTTGTAATCCAACACTACATTATTCATTTTGTTGCTCAAATCCTTCCAGCTTTGGGTATTGGGAACTCTCCCTGTTGGCTTCTGTATTTCTTTGACCTTTCTCCATCATTGTGGAGGGTTTTAATTTTTTTAATCATTTGTTTGTTTTGTTTTGTTTGTGTGCATGTCTTTAGCTCTACGCTCATCGTATACATTCCCTGACCCAGCCCTAGAATCAGACATTTCTCCAAGGGACCCTAGCTTATTTTATTGGAGAATGGCATTAGAAACCAATATCTGAATTCTGGGTATTTTATTACTACTGGGTCGCCTTTCCTCAAGGCCCACTCAGCTGACAGAGCAACAACATATATGTATCTACGCTAACTGATGTGCACACAAGTGTCCATAAATACCTCTAGGTATATCCATCTCTATTAAAGTAAATATGAGTTCATATTGATGTTTCCAACTGTCAACCTGTACTACATGGATCATTCTGGCCTCCCTTACACCTTGCACACCGGTACTCTCCAACTCCGACAGTGAAAAACCTAGCTGATGCCATAAGCTATCTAATTTATTTAACTGCACAATTCCAGTATATATGTAAAGTGGTTTCAGAATTGCTAGCCCGTACCACTACGGAATAGAACTTTGCCAATTGGGTTTAGTGCTTACAGTTCCTTTTGCCATTAATCTTATATTGTACACTAATTTCTAAAGGCACTTAGATCTGTCCCTTTTCCCCCATCCACTTCAGTTAGATTTTTCATACATTTTCAATATGGTAAACTCTTTGTCACAGTCTGTATTACAGCCTGGAATCACCTGACCTCCTAGATGATTTTTACTGTGTATAACTCTTTGGGTAGTAAAATTTTATGGGTTTGGATAAATGCATATTGTCATGTATCCAACAGTACACTATCATACAAAATAGTTTCGCCACCTTACAAAATCCTGTTTTTCACCTTCACCTATTCTACTGTCCCCCTTCAATAAACCTCAGCTATCACCGATCTATTTATCATCTCTAAAGGTCATTTTTTTTTAGAATATTATATAAATGGAATAATCCAGTATACAGCCTTTTCAGATTGACTTCTTTCACCTACCAATATGCATTTAAGGCTTTGCTATGTCTTTTCATGGCTTGATCACTCATTTTTTAAAAAAAAATCATTGAATAACTGTATGGATCTAATTACAGTTTGTTTATTCATTCACTTATTGAAGGACATCTTGGTTGCTTCCAGTTCTTAGAGATTATAATAAAGCTGTTATAAACATTCACATGAAGGTTTTTGTGTGGACATAAGTTTTCAAATCAGTTAGATAAATACCTACAAGCACAAATGCTGAATTGTATGATGAGATTATGTTTAGCTTGCAGACTATTTGTACCAGGAACAAAATAAGAAACCAATAGTTGACTGCACTCTTGTCCTGCCGAAAACCACAGATACATGCCTATTATGCTCTCTTAAAAGGCCCTGAGAGTATTTACGTGAGAAAAAAATGGAAAAGGATCAGCTTCAAAGTGGTGGTGAAGAGAAGTGTATTCTTGCCACCCTTATAGTATGAAGACAAAGGCTGACCTTAAAACACACTTCCTGCAGGGCTTCAGATCTATACAGGCCAGTCTCAAGATGCTTTTCAGTTTATAGTCATCTTTCTCACATGAATTCTGATGGTCCAAATTCTATGATTTTTAATCTGCTATTTAAATTGCATAAAATGAAACAAAGTGAAAGGAATCTGCATAAGTATATTTTGGGTCATTTAGAAGACCACTTTACACCACCTCAACTTTGCTAACTCAACTCCATGCCCACGTTTTTATCTATTACCAGTCACAAAGGTCAAGTGACACTGTGGAACACTGATGCAGAGATCTCCCAATAGTTTAGCAGTGTAGTAATATTCATTCTTGGATTGTCTCAAAGCCGTATTCTTAGGACTATATGAGAATAGTTTTGCTTTCTTTTTTTTTTGTTTAGAAGTGCTCTGTATATTCATTCACGAGCAATTCTGTGGTGGAGCATAGGCAGTCACAGGACGCCTTTTGAAGAAATATCAGTGAGAAGGAATCCCTTACTTGCTGAGAGGATGAATCAAAAGATAGAAGTACTCATTACAAAGATAGAATTCACACCTAGCCCCAGCTATTTTCCCCTCAGATTAGACTCATGCACATTTATGTTCTTTACGTACGTACCTAAAATAGTTACCTAGAATTTTTTTCTGGTAAGATTAGATATGCAACCTTTGAGGCTAGAGGTCTTCCAAAACCAAAAGTCCGTGTCAAGCTCTCTGTATCTGTCTCTCTCTCTGTCGCTGTCGCTGTCCCTCTGCCTCTTTCTCTCTCTGTCTCTCTGTGTATGGATATGTGTGTGTATGCACATACGAGTTCGCATACATGTACTCAAATTATGCCTGCAACTATAGAAATCAGAAAGCAAACAAGGGTTGGTGTAGATACTATTTGAGGAAATCCTGCTATTGCTAGAAATTATGCTATTTCCATAAATTAATGCATTTTATCTTCTCAGCAACACTGTATGGTAAATATTTTTATGATCACCATTTTACAGATGAAAAAGGACTCTAAAATGAGTTAAGGGGGCTGGGTGCAGTGGCTCATGCCTGTAATTCCAGCACTTTGGGAGGCCAAGGTGGGCAGATCACCTGAGGTTGGGAGTTTGAGACCAGCCTGGCCAATATGGCGAAAACTTGTCTCTACTAAAAATACAAAAATTAGCCGGGCATGGTGGCATGTGCCTGTAATCTCAGCTACTTGGGAGGCTGAGGCATGAGAATCACTTGAACCCGAGAGGCGGAGGTTACAGTGAGCTGAGATCGCGCCAATGCACTCCAGCCTGGGGGACAGAGCGAGATTCTGTCGCCAAAAATAAAAATAAAATAAAATAAATAAAATAAAATTAATTAAAGGACGTGCTGAATAACACATGAAACTACTAGTAGAGATGAAATTCAGGGCTCTGTGTTTTCAGACATCAGCGTCTGGTATCCTTCTACATCTGGTTAAACACAGTGTCAAGAATCTCCTGTTAAGTTTACCTTAAAGAACATTTCATAGCATTATGGCTCATCTTATGCTGCAACCCCTTTGGCACTGCCTTTTATAAAAGAGTAAATTAGCTTAAATACCTGCTGATCTAGACAACATCCATGTAATAGTAGAAAACGTTGTGATATTTCACAAAGCGTAATCCAAGTATTATCTGTGTCATAATTAGCTGGGGTGATGATTAAAATGTTGATTCTTGGGTCAAAACCTACTCTGCAGGTATTTTTATATACACCTAATCTTAAAATTGTCTGTCTATGATGCCCTCAAAGCTTACTTTTCCAGTTTTCAAATAAACCAGCATGCTCTTCATTTTAATTGGGATAAAAGTTGGTTTAGATACCTTTATTAAGTGGAAACTGAATGGTAATCCTTCATTTTATCAGGAGCTTCATAAATAAAGGCAGAAATAATATAAAAGCCAAAAATATTCTGAGATGTCAAGAATGGAAGACAGTTGTTTTAAAAATAATTATTATTAAAAACAAAGTCAAATGTGCCAGAAAATGCAAAACAGGTACCTAATAGTGGTGGAAAAGAGTTAGAAGATCAAGGTTTGTCTTGAAGTTGAGGGAGTATGTGGGAAGTTAGGGGTGTGTTGAAATACAACTGACACAGAAAGAGGTTCAGGACAAAATCATGATAAGGCAGAAAAAGCTCCAAGTACTGGAAGAAGCTGGTGAAAAAAGTCCTTTTACCCTCAGGAAGTCATAGGACTAGACCTCTGGGGCTTCCATTAAGTCCAGTCTTTTAGAGTACTGTCATTTATGACTTTCTCCTTGGGAAAAGGATACATTTATGGCTTTTTCCTTGGGAAAACTATACCTGATGACTACATCAGGTATAGTTCTTAAGGGAGGGTGGGGGTGGTGCCTATATGTTCAGTAGGACTAAATGACTTCTCTGAGGGGGCTTCCAGGCCTTTAGTATACAGCATACAGAAAAGGCCAGAGCTTGCCAAAAAACAGAGCACTGCAAAAAGAGTTGCATGAGGAATGCCTGTGAACAGGAGGGGCTAAAGATGAACGCTTTGCCTTTAATTTTCTAGGAAACCATAGACTCAAGAATTTGATAAAATTGAGTAAAAGAGAATTGCCTTCCTTGTTCAATTAAAAAAAAGAAAGAAAGAAAAAGAAAAAAAAGGACAGGCACAGTGGCTCACACCTATAATCCCAGCACTTTGGAAGGCCGAGGCGGGCGGATCACTAGGTCAGGAGTTCGAGACCAGCCTGGCCAACGTGGTGAAACCCTGTCTCTACTAAGAATACAAAAATTTGCCGGGCATGGTGGTGGGCACCTGTAATTCCAGCTACTCGGGAGGTTGAGGCAGGAGAATTGCTTGAACCTGGGAGGCGGAGGTTGCAGTGAGCTGAGATCACACTACTGTACTCCAGGCTGGGCAACAGAGCAAGACTCTGCCTTGGAGGGAAAAAAAGAAAACAAAACAAAAAAACCTTGTGATTGCAACTTTCCATATAACAACTAATCTTCCTGCTCTCCAGTCTGACCCTTTAATATTCCAGAGATTTACCCCTTACAGACTTGATTTCTGTTTGATCCCAGTTCTGTGGACCTTGATTCAATTCTGACCCAAGCTTGGAAGCTTCTAATTTGCATTTTCCACAGTCCTATCTTGAAGGCTGTTACTCAGACTGCTTTGACCCTCAGCTTTGTGCAAATGCAGCCTCTGATGCTTTGGAAATAAAGCAAGACCTTGCATTTACTTTAATGTCTGTTGCTGACAATTGTTCCACTTTATCACTCCAAATGAATTCTTCCTCCCACACCAAGGTCATGCTCTGACTCCCGTGTCTCTGCCACTACCCTTCTTGCTAATTACTGCTTTTTTCTAAAAATTCTGCTGCTGTTTCATTATTCTAATATTTCCAGTAGTGTAGACAGCACAGGCATTTAACTGAAAATATTATAGAAAACAGAGGAACATCTATAACCTAAAGCAGCCAGGGATTTTTTTTTTTAATATTTAAAAGAAAATTCAAGATGCTGAAGTCAAACTCCACAGCCTTCACCATTTTGCCGAAGGTCAGACCTATATGTGGACAACCGTGCTAAATCCAAGAAAAGCTGTGAATGTGATATATTTTCATTTATACCTGACAAAGACCCCTTTCCACTTTGTACAGTTTACAGAGATGGTAGAAATATTCTATAAAAATGTGTTTTACCATTGTTTATTAATCAAGACCACTATTGTGAAATTTAAGAGAAGGTTAAAGGAAGCAGATAGTTCATTTTCCAAAAAGCTCAGAGAAGACTAGCTTACACAGAAGAAAACAATTTCATGAATACTTTTAAAATTAAAATGATCAAATTGTCTAGGCAAACTGATGTGCTATAAGACCCACAGCAAAGTCTGGGAGGATTTGTCTGTGGTAGGTGGGGCAGGAAGTCCCATTGGGGGAAAAAAATTAAACTTGTGACCTGCCTATGTGTGGGGGTGATATGGTCCTTTTAATTTATTTTTTTTGGAGTGTGATAGCATCTCTTCAGATGGGAGATATGATGAAATCACAGGAGAGGCTGTTCCATGTGACTTCAAGGTTAATAAGAGGGAAACTTGGCAATGACAGGGCCAGCAGACAGGGAGAAAAATCTCCCTTTAAAGCTACAGATCGAAGGGTTGGAGTGATATCTATGTGACATTTCACCACTGATGTTCCTGATTAATTATCAACAATTCAAAAGAATATCAGGGTAGAGAATGGGAAGCTCTTGACAGTTAAAAGGGACATAACCTCATTAAATCTTTGGGATACAGCTTCTCTCAAGTCATTTCAGAGATGGGAAAAATGATCTCAAGTGTGTAAATCAGAAAGAAATTACATTAAATTCTTAGCATCAATGTGATTTTAAGAGCATTTATTACAATAATAGCATTTGCCATACCAATCCTAACACATGTTCTAAAAACATGTGTTATAAATTGATTAAATATTTATAGCAGGATTATTTGCAATAACACAAAATTAAGAGTCTAGATGTCAATCAATAAGGATATTGCTAAATAAAATATGATATATTCATGTTACAATTTACTGTGGCAGTTAAAGAATGAACTTGATCTATTTATAACACATATAGCTTTTGCAAGATGTCAGGCACTATTTCAAATGGTTTATGCATCTTAAATAATTATCACAACAAAGCTGGGAGTATACAAAAAGTAGAATACAAACCTATTGTATCCCAGTTGTACAGATGAAGAACTGGGAAACAGAAAGATTAATAATTTCTTTAAGGTCTCACAGACAATACATAGACCCATGTAGTCTGGCTTCACAATCCAGACTCTTAACAATACGCTTTATTTTCTTTGGTCTACTTTAAACGGTATATGTTAAAAAAATAATTTGATATAAAAAAGACAAGTTTAATACTACTAAAAAGCTACGTCAGAGAAAAATAACAATATCTTACACATCGTACTCTACTTTGGATATATACTGGGCATATATGTATACACATACCTATAAGAATGTGTTTGTGTGTGTATTATATGTACACAGAGAGAGAGAGAGAGGAGAGACAGAGACAGAGAGAGGAAAAAGTCTACAATGCTGGTAAAGGGAGTTTGTCTTTCTTTTCAGTATTGTAATTCCTATGTTAAGAATGTATCTATGTATCTCTCATAAAATTGTGAAGAATTAAAGTAAAATTAAATTAAAGTAAAACAGAGCTGGAGTCCTTTTCCCAAAACAGAGGACAGATGAGAAAACACCTTCTACATTTTTTCCAAACTAACTATAAACTACTTAAGGGTCCTGCCTACCCACACCTTCCTTTTAGACCTTGTCTCTCACCACTGCCCCTGGCTAATCAAATCAGACACTGTTTTTCAAACGTGCTGCATCTCCCAAATCTAGACTTCCACTTAGGCAGGCTCTTCTGTTTATCAAAACTGCTTTCTCTTTCCAACACACTTAAGTCCCTTTTGATGAAAGCCAGCCCTTGCTCCAAGGCCCATCTTGAATGCTAGCTCTTCAGAAAAGCCCCCAATGGGTAGTGCTAAGCATTCTTCTTTCAAGTCCTCAAGGCTTTCCAAAGCTTCCATGTGGAACCAAGTTCTGCCTTAGGTTTTTGCAATGTCTTATAACCCATGTTGAAATGTAGCATCCTGAGGATGAGCACTGGGTCTGGTTCCTTTATGTGTAAACTGTTTAGTTAAGGAATCTCAATGAGTTGAGAATATACATGGGAAATGGTTTCACTTTTTTTTTTTTCAATTTTGGTCCTCTAAGTATGCTTTGTCTTCCTGAAATGAAACTTTGGCTTAATAACTAGTCCCAATTCTAACAGCTCACTCACTTGCATTTATTAAAACAATCTACTTCTGGCAGATAGGATGCTACCACTTTCCTTTCAAAATGTCAGCCTCAAACTCAGTTCAAAGTTGTCTTTCCCAGCCCCTAATACATGTTAGCCCCTGTGGCTCTGGTGGGCGTGTAAGTAGGGGAAAAGAGAGACCATACACTTTTTTCACACCTGTTTCTCCCTTTATTTCTGACTCTTCTTCAGAGGTATATGGAAGGCTACGTGTCTCTTGGGGGTGAGGGTCTCATCCTGTTTCTGGTCATTATTTTACTTATTGATTGATTGGCTAGTGCCACTTCTCAAAACTCTACAGGGTAGCAAGTGATCAAAAAGCTGATATTCTCATGGAACATTTGTATATGCACTTTGGACAATCCTGGGGTGTCTCCCTATTATCTGGTTCCCTGAGATGAGAAATAAAGCTGTGATTCAAATATGTCCTTTGTCTTTATTTCTCACCACCAGGAGTTTGGATACAGCTCCTTTATGTGGAGTCTTCTCACCAGGACTTTAGGTGGAGTGCCAGTAATAAGCCTAACTTCTTCTCAGTGTCCTGGAGACATACGGGAAATTCATGTACGATTGCCACACTTAACTGTTTGTGCTGCTATAACAAAAATCCATCAGACTGGGTGGCTTAGATACCAAATTTAAACAACAAATATTTCTTTCTCACAGCTCTGAAGGCTGGGAGTATAAGATCAAGATGCCGTTTGATTCAGTGTCTGCTGAGGCCCCACTTCCTGGTTCATAGACGGTTGTCTTGTCACTGTGTCCTTACATGGCAGAAGGGAAGAAGAGATCTCTGGGGTCTCTTTTATAAGAACACTAATCCTATGAGGGCAGAGCCCTCATGACCTAGTCACCTACCAAAGGCCCCTCCTCCAAGTAGCCATCACCTTGGGAGTTAGGATTTCAACAGATGAATCTTGTAAGAGTGGGGGAGAAAACAAAGGTTCAATCTATAGCACATGCCAAATAGTAGGAGAGCAGGAGCCACTCTGAGGTGATCTCACAGTCTTGCCATCTCCCTCCAAATATCTCTACTTCAAGTTGTAAAGAGTCAGATCAGTAGAACAGGTGGCCAAATCCCAACCAACTGTAGAATAAAATAAATCTGCGCTTTCTAAACTTTGATTATTTCCCCTCACCTGAGAGTCTTAATCTTCTTACAGTGATGTGTGTTTCTATGTGTCTGTGTGTGTACGGTGGAGGTGTCAGAAGCGAAGTGGGCAATGAATTGATTTTGCTTCACCTCAGAGAGCATCCTCTCAGTAAATTCCTTGGGGAAATGTCTGATCACCATTGATGGTGGCTCTTGGAATCTAGAATATGGATACTTAGCACTTTTTGACCTGAGCTTTGAGTGTTGAACACAATTGCAACATAACAGGAAAATTCTTGCTCTGCTTCATGATGAGGTATGAACCTTCCTCAACGATCAGCTCTGGGTCTGGGACAGAAATGGGTACACAATAGAGATTGCTGAATAGAATCCCTGAGAGGCTCCAAATCAGATGATGTCTGGGAGAAGACAGGCTCAGGAAAATGGACACACTATTCTCTGGAGTGGCACTGGGGAAGTTTCAGTAGCACAGATTCACTGCCTCCCCATTCCTTCCTGCTCACCACACAAAACAGATCTCTCTCCCTACAAGTCTGTGTTTCCATTCAAGGAAACAGAATTTGAAAACAGCTGTGTGTCCTAAGGCCCAGCAGCAGCCATGACGCCTACTGGGCTCTGGAGCAGGATCCAGCCTGTCTCCTCCCCCTGTCTCACATTGCCTCACATTCCTCTCCAGCCAGCTCCACAGAAGCCTGGCACACCTGCGTTTGCCTTATTTGAACCTGCCTCTTGAAGGAAGCCCTTTTTTGCCTGTTCCCTCCCATTCATTAGTTTTCTGTTCTCTGTTCATTTCTCTAGATTTGAACTGAAACTTGGTGGGGAATCTTCTGTTTCCTCAACAGCTACTTGAATGTACACCCCAGCCCAACAGGTGTTCACACACACGTTCAGATCCCCACTGATTTGTTTTTGCCTTTAGTTTAAATTTCACAGAAGTGTCAATAAACTAATCTTAAAAGGTACAGGCCTCAACAGGAGCCAAAAACCTAAAATATTGACAAATGAGCTCAAAACACCATGAATCCAGTAAGTTAAACCTGATAGTTCTGAAATATATATTTCTTCTTTCACTATTCTACCTGTAATGGGAAGCACGGAAGAGCTAGGGTCAAGAGAAAAAGACAACATGTCTACATTCACAGTTTTCTTTAAAACTGTCTTCTCTCCCTCTCAGAGACAAACACTTGGATATACTAAGAACTATCCATGTCCTTACATCCATAATCACACTAGCACAGGCTTCTGTGCTCAATGACTCAGAAGACCTGGTTGGTGGTTGGAGTGGGAATGCATAGGTCAACATTTACTCAGCACGAATATGCCCCAGAAAGTCTATATACCACCCCGTAAGATGTATTCAGGCTCAGAGAGGGTAGGTAACTTGTCCAAGTCACACCCAGGGAAGCAACAGAGACAGAATTTAAATTAGTTCTTCCCGATGCCATGATACTTTCCCATTACACAGTGCTGCCTTCTGGGGTAGCAGGGTTAGCCTCTGAACACTATTCCCAAATCCTACGCATATCGGAGTCAGTTGGAGAATCTCTTTTAAAATATATATTTTGAGGTCTCATGCCTAGATATTTTTATTTTTAAGTCTTAGTTGGAACTATGGGAATGTATGTATAGTTTTAAAGTACCCCCAGGTGAGTCTGATCTACTGATGGATTTGAAAAACACTATTTTACATTATCCACAGCAACAGTTAATAAGCACTGGTAAACATCATCTGGCTTATTTTTGATAATTCATTATGTGTTTTTCAGCTGTAACGTTATCAAAATCTGTTTAAATTCACTTAGTTTTTACTATTTAAGAATAGAGAAATGCATAAATGTACTCTCTGCTATGTAGCATCTACCAACTACGCACCTCTCTACCTGCTAGCTTCTGTGGTTTTCCCATGGCCATGGCACTGTAGGCTCTACCCATCCAGTTTGTGTTTACCTTATCTATGCCCTTTATCTTTTTGTAGAGGTCAGCATGTAGAAAGGTAATCATTTTAATCTGCTCTCACATAGCACCCTTTTTAAAAATCCCTCTGATCATTTCATCTGCCCTTCTTCAGACCTTTTCTAGCTCTATTTCCTCTCTTTTAAGGTTCATCAACCAGAACCACATATAGTGCAGATGAACGAAGGTTTTGTACAAGGGCATTGGCCTTGGTGTTCCTGGGGGATGCAATGTAGTTATCCTAAAAAAGGCAAATCCTAGGGATTGAAACGTAAAATAGAACTGGAAATAGAAAGAGAGAGGAGATAGGCACATGAATAAAAATTCTTCCTTTTTTCTGTCTCAGGCTATTTATTCCTTCATTTCTTTTTGCTTCTTAAGTGGAAAATGGGTGGGGATTGGATGACAGGACATTAGAGGAGCTGCAGTGACTTGGGGAAGCAGAGATGTTCATTAATTCAAGCTGGTCCGTAGAGCAGTTGACAGGATTCTAGGCAAAATTGTTTTTATTAGCATCTATCTCCCTTTTTAAATCCATGACTCCTGGGTTTCTGTTCTTCCCTTTGCCTTTCCCTACATTTCTTTAAGTAAGAGGTCTATTGGCTGTCCAAAATATACCCCAAATCACCATCTGCTCCCAAATCCTTGCCTTCCCTACCCCCTCCTACTCTCAAAACAAAAGTGCACATTTGCAGAAGAAATTTTGCTGAGCTGGCAGCCCTCAGGAGCTGGTGATCTGATTATCTCATTAAAGCAATTTACTCGGAGTGTGAATGAGCCTTAACCCTTCCAGGGATCACATGAATTTTGAAAAGCATTTGTCAAACCTAAATAATCTATGATTGATCACATTTTTGGGCACATTGGAATATGCATAAGTGCGGGGGTGGGGAGGAGTCTGTTTTGGAGAGATGGCTGCTTCTTTCTCCTTTTTGCACACTTCCAGGCATGGGTGTTGTGTGTCGGGGAGTAGGAGGGGTGACATCAAGAGAGAAATGCACAGACACCGCATTACAGCTGCACAAAATGCATACTTGGTTAAGTAAAAACAGAGAGTCCTTTGGGGAAGAGAAACAGATTAGCTGATGAAATCCCAATTTTTTCAAAATTTAAAATCTCCTAACTGTGGAGGGGCATTTATGCTTTAAATGGACTCCCCATCAATTCCTTTTCTTGCTCACAGCACTAATTTGCTATATTTTCTTGAGTACTGATCATACCTTCCTTGGAGTTCATCAACAATTCCTTCTGTGTTTCCTTTTGTATACCTCTCCCCACAAACCTTAGTGCCAACTGCAAAGTTGAATAGCAATCTCATAGGATTGCGGCATTGGAAAGAACCTAAGAAATCACCCAGTTACATTTTTCATCCTAGTTTTAATAGACGTCTGTCATTTTTGCAACCCATTGTCTAGACGTCTTTTTTCCAGATAGAAGACTAGCCTGAATTATCTTTCAGAAACAACCTGTCCACACTGTCAGCCCAGGCAATTTGCCTGAGTTTGACCCTATTTTCAATTGGGGGAAGGGTAGGCCCTGACTGACTTTTGTAATGAAACAACTATCCCATACCCAGCTGACCACAGTAATTGCCTCAGGAGTGGGAAAGGAAGCTAATTATGGGTAAGGCAAATCAGGTTTGGAATTTTCATTATACCGTTTATAAGGGAGGTTTTTCCTTAGACGTGAGATACAGGGTGGGAAATCTAGAGGGCTGTAGCCATCTGGCTATCATGAAACCAAGCTGCTGTCAGAATGAAACCACAAGAAAGGAGGGGAAGTGAATTTTGTGGGCATCATCAGAGCCCTGCATGTAGCTTCTGCAAAACTAAAGCTTGATTAAGCCCACCACTTCTCAGCCACTACATCTCCTTTTAGATTTACATAGTTTTGAGCAGGATTTTCAATCACTTGCATCAGAGAGGAACCAAAACGACAGGCCTAAGATGGGGAATGAAATTATTTCTACTCTAGCCTGCCACACAGTTTTCCAAACATTAGGAAATCCTTCTGAATATTTTATTCTCTGTATCTTCTGCCCATTTACTCAAGTGTTTTATTTAAGGTTTTGTTTAGAGATAATCAGAATTTCTTTCATTCTGTTATCCCTCAGGTACTTGAACACAGTTAGCCTGGCTCATCGTACCTAGATCCCTAATTTGTCAATTCTGTGGGAAAAACATCTTGAGTTACTGCAACTTTTCTTTATATGACAAGTTGCCACCCCATGAATGATACATATTGCTGCAGTTGTTATTGAAACGTAGTTCCTGTAATGCAGGATCACAGGACCCTGTGGGTTTATAGCTCTGTGACATCCCTCCATCCCTCATAGCCCCCCCGCCGCTGTTAAAACTCTATTGTTATTTATGCAACCTAAGTTACAGTCTTTTTTATTAGCTACTGTATCACACTGTGGAAATTTCTGTCCTCCAAATAACCAGAAAAATGTTTTCATTTTAAATGGCACGCCCCTTAATCTTATATTTTCAGGATAATATTTTTATCATAAAATTAATACATGTATGTTATGGAAAATTAGAAGACATAAATAAACATAAAGAAGAAAATTTTATTCCTAAAATTATTAACCAGAGAAACCACAGACATACTCCTGGATAGCCCTTCACACATTTCTTTTCATGTCTTTGCATATCTACATAAGCATAACATTTATTTTGTAAAAATAAAGTATATAATATTCTTCCACAGTCTTTTTAACTGCTTTATCATTGATATATTCTCATATAAATAGGTAAATACAACATATTTTTAATGGATGTATAGTATTGCCTTGTGGCAGGGGTACAATTTGACTGACTGACTATTCATGTTTTTTTTTTTTTTTTTTCTGTCAATAGATATGTTCCTGATTATTTTCTTAGACTAATTCTCTCTGATAGAGTAGCAAGTTTAGAGGTTATGAATATTTTGGAGCTTCAGTTGTTTATTTCCTTATTTCCCTCCAGGAGGATTAAACTAATTTATCAGCTCATTAGCAACATCCCCACCATCATGAGGTGTCATTTAAACAACAACGAAAACTATCATCAGGACTTGCAACTTAATCATCTTGATGTTGGCCCAAGAGTTTAGCCTGTCAGCATTGTTTTAAGTCTTCATTCTCATTAATGCATTATTGATATTCACCTCTTGTCACATTATTATTTATAATGGAAAAGTTACTTCTATGACACAGTTAATAACAGATAAAAATCTTGAGCAGGGTCATGCCTTGTTAAGGTTAAATACTTTGAGACCTCTTTCCAGGTTCAAGTGAATTTGTAAGTTAATATTATTTGGATTGTTATACCTCTTTTACTATAACCCAACCCATGTTTTCATCTTCTCCACCAGATTTGGTGGCTTGGCAGAAACCTAAAATTAAGATATGTCTCTGTGGGTTTCCCTACCACATCTCTAGCTAGCTTTCCTTTGAGATTAGAATTAAGCCCAAAGTTACAATTCCCCCAAAACATCTTCTACCTTAGGAAAGATGAAACTGTCAGCACAGTAAGTCAGGTCAATAATTTATCAGAGTCTGCTTTTAGTAGATATTTTAGTGTGAATTCCCTCATCTAGACCATTTATAAAAGTGTCAAAACTGGCCCTGGGAGTGATTCCTCTGAGTCTTAATTATTAGCCTTTCTCTACATATAAAAATGTATATGTATTCCTATATCTTTTCTTCTTCTGACTTCAAATCTAATCCCCTATTATAAATTATTTCCTCTACCTCCATAGTGATTCATTTTAATAGTGTATATTACAGGAAGATAGTAATAACTTCTGATGTTCTAAAAATTCTCTGAAACTCCTTAGGAATGTTAGTTTATGAGAGCATATGTTACTACACAATGGAGATTTTAAAAAATAAAAAGCATAAGTGCTAGAGATAAGGACTGTTTGGGTATACTCAAACTGGAATAGGAAAAAGGTAGGTCTTAGACAAATAATTTAGTGCCATAGCCTTAGTTTGTTCTTTTATCTACCAAGTAATGAATACTTGCCATGTGTACCTCACAGAGGTCCCAAGATTATCAAATAAAAGCACACACACAGGGTGTGAATGTGCCATCGTGAAGCACCAAATAATGTATAAACATCAGCATATTTAATAAAAATAAATATGTATAATAAATATCTCATTTAATCTTCAATGATGTCAAGGCCTTTAATCTCAGTTTTAGTAGATGCCAATACTGAGGCTCCAAGAGTTTGCTGTTAACACCCAGGATTATATGGCAGATTTGTATCCCCAGTCCCAGTTCATAAGGCTCCAAATCAATGGTCATTTGACTTAATGGGTTGTGAGGTATGTGGCTGAAAGTCATTCCCTACTTATCATCAAATATTAAAGTCTGGAAATTTAAAAAATAAATATAATTTAGAATTATATTCAATTTTGAATTATACAAAATTGTATCTTTAATTATGTCATTATCACTCATTGGAATTTCATGCTCTTTCCAGACTGACAGAAAATAGGGGTGGAGGTACAGCTAGCATGAAATTAATTATTTATGCTTAACATCCAGCCTTTCTGAGGTGCCCACAGGGAGTAACAGATACTGATGCCACTTTAATAATTATGTTGACTATGAATTATTGCAGTGCTTGACTTTACTATAAATGTTGTGGTGTTTTTTCAAAATCTGGGTACGCCTATGGGAGTGTGTTGAGTATATGAATGTCATCTGTCATATGTGTCACAGCAGAAACAGTAGCTGGGGATGCTGGACAACATCAGTCTGCAACTCCAGAAGAGGTATAAAGGAATTTATATACTTCTTAAAAGATTTTCATCTCTTCATTGAGCTATCTGATGTGTGAGATTATCTAATCCTCCAAGGGCAGGAAATTTCATTATTTTAAGATTTGAACCCATATAACTTGACTTATTCTGTTTTCATAAGGGGGATCCTATAGTAATCCCTCAGCTACTTAGATCCCTTTTAATTAAGGTCCTTAAAACAGAGAAAATACTTTTTTTATAAAGTGGAAGCTTGGTAGGTAGAAAAACAAGTTCAGATGCCTGCAATGTCTGAGACTTCACAGTTACTTTGAACAAGAGCAAACAGGCCAGTGAAAATAAGATGCACGGAGACCTATAGGTAGAGAAGCAGATGTCAGTCCCAGCTTTTGGTGACCTGCAGCACTGAAAATATTTAAATTGAAATGACACATCTAGTCTGGTGAGATCCCCCTTAAACAATGACTGTTTGTTGAAACAGGCCATGGAGTTCCTTAGGGGTATTTCTGGAAAGACAATTCTGGTTGATAATATAAATTTTCAACAATGGGTATAGCTTAATGAATCAACTAAAGGTTACTTTCGGTAAACTACACGTAATTTAAAAGTACTACAGATGGCAGGAAACTCACTTATTTATATTACCAGAGAAGGTGGTGTTACACATAGATGAAATTTTCTGTATAATTAAAGCCCAACCACTTTTTGTCAAGATCTGCAAAAGAATGTAAGAGTGGCTAACCCTACCTAAATTTGTTGCAACTGCAATAAACTTTAAGCTCTTGTTTCTGCTCTGACAGTAAGCAATCTGACAGCAAAGAATAATGGCATGGGCTGAAAAACCTGATAACCAAGTCTAAACAAATAATCTCATGTAAGAGTAATAGGTTCTCAAAGACAGTTTGAGGAAAAAAGTCCTGAAACATTGATACATGTATAGCATGCCAGACTGTGAGTGGGGAAAGAAAGATCCTAGTAGTCACAAATAAGAAGGCCACTCCATGTTATATCTCAGATATTACACAGTCAATGTCTCTGCCTATGAAAAATCCTGTTGATTCTGTCCCCAGTTGAGAGCTGACTCTTCCTGCTGTAGTCAAGGTGGAAAAATTTCACCCCATCTCTCTCTCACCCAAACATGGGGGAGAGTTTCCCAGGCAAATCTAACAAAGCAGTGCTCAATAAAATACTCAGGGCAGCAGTCACATACATGTAACTTCAGAGTCTGTTGTCAAATAGTCAAAGAATATCTGCCCCACAAAAACAAAGAGAATTCATCTTTGATCTCTAATCAGTGGAAGGCATAATGCAACTCTTCTTCATCTACAGGTGAAGAATCTTTAAAAAAGACCTGAACTCTGAGTAACTACTGAAGGCAAGCTTAGGTTTCTCTGCAATTAAAAACAGGGACCCCGGCCGGGCACGGTGGCTCACGCCTGTAATCGCCCAAAATTTGGGAGGCTGAGGCGGGTGGATCACCTGAGGTCAGGAGTTCAAGACCAGCCTGGACAACATGGTGAAACCCCATCTCTACAGAAAAATACAACAATTAGCCGGGCATGATGGCGGGTGCCTGTAATCCCAGCTACTCGAGAGGCTGAGGCAGGAGAATCACTTGAACCTGGGAGGTGGAGGTTGCAATGAGCCGAGATCATGCCATTGCACTCCAGCCTGGGTGACAGACTCCGTCTCAAAACAAAAATAAAAACAAAAAACAGGGACCCTTACTCAAAGTAGTAATCAGCCTGGGAACATTCTGGAAGACAGGGAGGAGAATCAGCAGAACCAACACAATAAAAAGAAAATGGAAACCAGGAGCACAGCAGACACAGTGCACTATAGCCATTTCAGAGAGACGGAGAGGAAATTAGAATATCAGAAATGCATTGCATATTTTATATTGCTTATTGCATTTCATTATGCTTAAATTAGTGGTATAATAAACTATATTAAAATGCCTTCAATAGTATGCATTTAGTCTTTGTAAGATCCTAAATTGAAATTTCCCAACAGGTATTATAATACTATTGTCAATGACTGAACCAAGGGGCACCCTAAATGTCAATTGCAGTTAACATTCTGGCATGCAAAGAAGGTAGGTAGGAGTGCAATCATCTCTTACATATGCCACACACAAGCTAACACAGCTCATTCACGTCACTCCAATAGGTAAAACAATTCATTGTTTTCTTAGAGGAATTTTATTTTTGCTTCCTTTAGAAAGAAGTGATGCTGTAAAAGAGCAATTATTACTCGACATTTAAAAAAATAAATATCTCTGCCATAAGTATAAGCACTTGAGTTTTTGAAATTTAATTTGAAATCAGAGTGGACCAACTTGATATATAACAAACAATAAATAACGTTTAATAACAATAATGTTGCAAAGTATCAGGACCTTACTGCTTCCTCAATGACTTTATTTCATTTGTTTCTAGTTTCTTCCTTTATTTACATGCATCCATGGTTAAGCTGACTCTTGCCCTGTGTAGAATGCCAAGCAAATTTAAGAAAACATATGCTATTGGTTTATACCTATTTTAATGTTAAAGTTTAAATAATCACCTTTTCATTTAAATAATCATTTAATCAATCCTTGAATAAAGGTTCTAGCTTTTAACAGTACTATAAATTACTTAGAACTTGTTCAAAGCTCAGTCAATACTGAAATATTCAGAGTCACGAAGCCCAAATTGGTACCATCTTCCTTGTATTTCATTATACATTTATTACAGTTCATACCTCTCTTTCTCATAGCATACTGTGTCTGGAGTTATTCCTTCTGGTGGGTTCGTGGTCTCCCTGACTTCAAGAATGAAGCCATGGACTTTCACAGTGAGTGTTACAGCTCTTAAAGGTGGCACAGACGCAAAGATTGAGCAGCAGCAAGATACATTGTGAAGACCAAAAGAACAAAGCTTCCACAGCTGGAAGCGGACCCGAGCAGGTTACTGCTGCTGGCTGGGGTGGCCAGCTTTTATTCCCTTATTTGTCTCTGCCCATGTCCTGCTGATTGGTCCATTTTACAGAGTGTTGATTGGTCCATTTTACAGAGTGCTGATTGGTCCATTTTACAAACCTCTAGCTAGCCACAGAGCGCTGATTGGTGCATTTTTACAAAGTGCTGATTGGTCCATTTTACAGAGTGTTGATTGGTCCATTTTACAGAGTGCTGATTGGTCCACTTTACAAACTTCTAGCTAGCCACAGAGCACTGATGGGTGCGTTTTTACAAAGTGCTGATTCGGGCATTTTACAAACCTCTAGCTAGCCACAGAAGAGTTCTTCAAGTCCCTACCCAACCCAGAAGTCCAGCTGGCTTCACCTCTCAATACTACACTTATTCATCACGACTTTATCCACATAAGATAGCTCCCTCCTAATCTTTCCCACACCTCTGTACAGCCTCAGCTCCTCTGCCCCAGAAATCACTCAAAAAGTTAAGATACTCTATATCCAGTTAAACATTTTCATGGGCTGGGGGGTAGGAAGAGGAAGATTGATTATGACAAGCTACTGGTGAATAGTTTTATGATATCCAGAAATTGACAAAATAGCCATAAAATGTGATATATGTTAATGAAGTCAAAGTCACCACATGAAATTAACACCAGTATAATTATTTAACCATAAAATAACTTAGCGCATAGTGCATGCTTTCTGCTTCTCTCTCTCTCCTTGCTCTCCCTGTTAGCTGACAACAGGATTATGTATTATGCTTTTTCTCTTTTATACCCGTTTGATGGTGACAGAAATTGAAAACTTTACTACAGCCTAAGATTACTGAATACTGAACACAAACAAACATACATACGTATTCTCAAAACACAAAAGCTAACATTATTTTGCAGGAAGACAGGTCTCCAGATAGCGCTGGCTAACCCAGCTCTCCCCACCCTGCCTATTGCAGCTCTCAGAATAATTGTAGAATAAGTCAATAATGAAATGTCCTGAGATAAAGAGGAAATGTCTGGAACATTCCAGGCTATGTCCTTTTTCTTCCTAGAACAGGATGTCCTACAATGCTTGTGCTCCGTGCAAGGTTGTGCCAAGGTTATAAAACCCAGGGCAGAGTGCCTCTAGTGTCCTCCAGCTACAATGTGAAGTGGGGCATTCGCAGACAAGACACTTCTCACCCCGGGCAGCCTTCCTGAGACTTGGGGGACAAGCTTGCCATGGACTTTAGGTTTCTATTTATTCTTGCTGTCTATCTGTGAGTAATGTGCTGTGCCTGCTGTGTTGTGCTAGTGTTTTGTCTCACCAGACTTGAGAACCTTTGCATATTTATACACAATTACTTAAATATTGTTGAAGCATTTTAGGAACATTTAGAATAAATCACAATATCAATTAACATGCATATTAACATAGGGCAAAAGGTGTTATTGGTCAAAAGCAAGGCTAATTTGTTTATGAAAATCAAATCTTGTTGAATTAATTTAATTACTGTCTAGAAATGACAAATTAATGTCACAGATTACAGGGGAGTGACAGAGATGATCCTCCTTGACATCATCAAGACCTGAGCCTGCATGAAATTCCTACAAAAGGAGCTAAATTTTAAATTGCTTTGCTTTATTCTTTCAACAGTGTCCACAAGTTGTAAAATTTCATAACTAAAAGTCGAGCCTCTTTACAGGGAGGATCACAACAGGCTGCAAAATTGAAAACTGCAAGTTTCATCAGAAAGAATACGTATCAATGTTAATTAAGCATTCATTAGAAAGGCTAAGTGAGCCATGGGGGGAAAAAAAGAGTACCATGTAGCTGTTGGTAATTTAGAAAGTCAAAATAACCTGCCTTCATTAGAAGTTAAGGGTCACAGTTTCAGGGGAGGAATACGGAAGAAACAGAGAGCAGAGGGTTTTATTTTTCCCTAGCTTTTTATGTTCTTCATTTTAGACTTCAAGAGCAGTTGTGCAAAAAGACTGAATGGGTATTTGTAAAAGGTCAGTGTGTAGTAAGAAAGGAATCATGATGCGAGTTTAAGATCACCTCACAAGAACTGATTAAGAAGGCTATTGTAAGAAAGCTAATTAAGGCAATTAACTCAGCATCAGGTGGAACAGCTGGTGGGGATTTTCCTAGCAAAGCCTGAACTAGCTTAGGTGTCCCACTGTCAATGGCATAGTCCAGGGGCTCCTAGCCTTCACAAAAAGATAAGAGGAAATTGTAATTCAGGTCTGGGAAGGAATCCAAGGGTTTGATTTAGTTAAGTGATAATTGATAATTGCTGAGGATAAATCAAAATTGTCTAAGTGTACTTAAAAGTAACAATGTGTACAGACAGCGCCTTACAAACTGCAAGAGGCAGCCACATTTGGACTTGTTAATTCATATCATTTTAACATTGTCTAAGTTTTATTTAGAATAATCTAAAACTTTTCTTGCTTTTGCAAAATATCCTTTGTGATTGGAACCTGAGCATCACTTCTAGGAACCCTATTTTCTAACCAGAGGTCAGTGCCTACTGCCTCAAACCTGATGGAGGCAATTCGAGTGGCTCTTTTGGTCTGTGGCACTTACCTTTCAAATTTCAATTATTTGTTCACAAACACATAAGAAAACGGCACGTAAAAATGCTTGGCTGAACGTGGAGGTAAGAAGAGAAGAAAACTGCTCAAGAAAAAGCAACAAACAAAGAGACCTAGAGTTCATTATCAAGAATTTCCCACTGATGGAAAAAACAGAGACCTGAACAAAGAAAAGATATGAGGCAGAGAAAATGGGGGAAAAAAGGTCTAGTGATAATGAGTAGAGCAAAAATAAGATGAAACTGTGAGTTGAAATGGTTTTGAAAGAGGAAATAGAAGTTTGTCAACTTAGCTATAATAAATGTGGTACATACACACCATGGAACTACACGGTCATAAAACATTTTTAAAAAATCATATCCTTTGCAGCAACATGGATGCAGCTGGAGACTCTTATCCTAAGCGAACTATCACAGAAAGAGAAAATCAAATATCATTTATAAGTGGGAGCTAAACACTGAGTACACATGGACATGAAGATGAAAACAATAGACACTGGAGAATTTAAGAGGGGGCAAAACCACCTACTGGGTACTATGCCTGCTACCTGGGCTACAGATTCATTCGTACTCCCAACCACAGCATCACGCAGTATACTTTTGTACCAAACCTGCACACATGTACCCCAATTCTAAAATAAAAGTTGAGGCTGCTTGTGGTGGCTCACACCTGTAATCCCAGCACTTTGGGAGGCCAAGGTGGGTGGATCATGAGGTCAGGAGTTCAAGACCAGCCTGGCCAATATGGTGAAACTCCATCTCTACTAAAAAATACAAAAAAATTAGCTGGGCATGGTGGCGGGCACCTGTAATTGCAGGTACTCAGGAGCCTGAGGCAGGAGAATCGCTTTAACCCGAGGCGGAGGTTGCAGTGAGCTGAGATCGCGCCACTGCGCTCCAGCCTGGGCAACAGAGCAAGACTCCTTCTCAAAAATAAAAAATAAAATAAAATAATAAAATAAAAATAAAAGTTGAAAAAAAAGAAGAAAATAATTATCTACACAGGGTCTGAGAGAAAGAGATCTTAAATGTGTGTTTAGTCTTATGAGTGAATTGGAAGTCTATGCTAATAATAATTTGAGTCCAATAAACATGTACTTGTTTGGTGTATTTTGTGCAACACTATTGATGAAATAGAAGAAATTTGCATTCTATCGAAAAGAGCAAAGGCTTAAGAGTCAATATACTTTTATTTATTCAATTATAATAGCTTATATTGAATAAGCACTTCCTAACAGCTTTATTTGATTAATACTTTAGAGGTGTTATCTTACATGAGTTTTTTGTCAAATTTTTGTGGTAGGTACCATTTCACCTCCATTTCACACCTTGAGGAAATATAGGCTTAAGAAGACAAGCTACTTCAGCATTATAGTTAGTAAACACTGCTGCTACAAGTTTACTTATATTTCAAAAAAGTGAAATTAGCAAAGAAACAATTAAAATTAAATTTTTGTGTTGCTTTGTTTAAAAACAAGATCATTATACTTCATTTTAGAGTCAATTTGTCAGAGTTCAAAAAATACTCTGAATTTTTATTGAAATTACATTACATTTAAAATTTAATTCAGGAAGGTTTTTACAATTTAAGACATTGAGATTTCTCAACTATACGCATATTTTATTGTATAATTTTAATTGTCTATAGCATATCCTTATTATTTAAAATTTTCTTCATAAAGTTTGTGCTTATTTTTAATATTTATTTCTAGTCATCTTACAGTTTGTTTTTATTATGAGTTGTGTAATTTTCATTGATTACATTTTGAATTAGTTTTTGTTGGCATAGTGGAACACATTTGATTTTTGCATGTTGATCCTCTAAGCTAACATCATCTGGCCACTGATGTTCACTCTCGCTTAGGCAAGTTCTAGAGTTATTCCTTCATTTATCAAATAATCTTTGAAGGAAGATAGGAAACCCATGAAGTATAACTATGCTATGCAGAGTAGTCAGTAAAAAATAGTGAAGGAAGGCCCAGGCTTCACCCATCCTCAGTAATTAATACCTGCATAGCAATTCAGGGGGAAAGTGGGCAAGGCATCCTAAGGCTCAGAAGGAGCAAAATGCTGTACACACACACACATACACACACACACACACACACACACACACATGCACGCAAGCACACACCAATGCCTCTAACTTCATCGAAACTCTTCTTTCTGGAACTCTTTACTCCTTTTTTAAATTTAAGTTTTTAACTTAAGTACATGTTAATAAACTGTATGAATCAGAGGTGCACAGCTTGAATCTTTAGAGGGTGAAAAGGTCCATTTAACCAATACTTAGGCTAATAAACAGAATGTTCAGAAGTCCCCACATATTCTTAAATTCATGACAGTCTATCCATTCAATGAAGATATAAAACCTGGAATCTCTGCTGTACTCTGTCCTGTATATATCTACATACAACTAACACCAACTCATGTGGATGGTACCACATAACCTTCATATCCATCACCTTTTTCCTACTTCCAATCTCACATCTCTCCTTACTGGAGATACTGTAACAGGCTCTTGCCTGGCCTTCCCAGTCTCCATTGCTGTTCCAGTTGTTTTTCTCAAATCCATCAAGTGCACTTACTGCTTATGTGCCATCTCTGGCAAGAAGCCTTCCTTGAACCTTCCAACAGAACCCCACTGCCACTCTCCTGTCAGCCATATCCTTACTCTATCATTCAATTTGATCACTGTTTGAAAGTATTTTTGTTTATATGTCTGTTTCTTCAAGAAAATTTTATTCATAGTTATACCCACAATGATCAGTAGACTGACATCTAGTAGATGGTCATCAGGTGCTTATAGAACTAAAGGCAAAGGGTTACACCTGCCTGTCCTTCATTTAACAGTCAGTATTAGCTGGTGCACACCTGTAATCCCAGCTATAATACTTGAGAGGCTGAAGTGGGAGGATCAGCTGAGCCCAGGAATTCAAGGCCAGCCTAGGCAAGATAGCCAGGCCCTGTCTCAAAAACAAAACACAAAAGTTACACAGGCAATCCTGCATTACTTTTTTCAGACTAATCAAATAAGCATTGTGTTTGTTTTTTTCCCCTTTCCAGGCCACCCTTTTATCTCTATTTCAATTTGATTTTACCTGGAAAATTCTACTGGGTGAAAGGGGTGCCATAAGGGTTGTATGCTTTGGTTTATAGCCTCAAATGATGGGTGTAGATTGATCCTCAACTGGACGAAAGCAAATGCTCTAGCATGGGTACAGAAGAACAAGGGTGTTTGTCACTATGATGAGAGGGAGGCCCATGGGCATTCTCATAATTACAATTTTAAGAATACATGCAAGAGAATTTAGGTTTGCAGTGACATTTTTAGTTCTGCTTTATATAGAGTCACTATAGGTCCTTATTAAATTAAGAACCAGAGAAGGGTCATGCCTGATACGGAAGTCTTTTCTGTAGTTCACAACGAGTCTAATACACAGGTTCAAGTATTTCTCCTTATTACTACTGCACAGTTACACATCATTCTGTGGGTTTTATTTCTTTTTCTTTTAATATCTGTGATCAGGAAAAGAAAGAAACACTTCAGAAATGAAAGATTAGTTTCCTAAATCATAAAGATGAGCTTTGTAATCATTTTCCTTTAAGCAAGGAATTAAGGGATAATAAAAGCCCTAATTAAGGACCTTGTTAGCTTAACTAGATTTTCATATGCAAAACACAGTTATGAAGTGCTGCTACAGAATGAATGGAGATGCCTCCTGTCCACAACAAACCCAAAGGGAAGCATTCTTGCCAGGGCTTTTCTTTTGCTTCTTCTGTCTTTCTGTCCATGAGGGGTCATTCTGTTTCTGCATGAGCACCAATTCTCTTCACCCTGGCCATGATTCCTTCTTCTCATTTTGGTTGTCCAGTCTTTTCGCTTTCTTTCATCGTCTTTTAAAATTTGCCATGATTCACTCATCCATTTATTAATTCAACTAGCATGTATTGAGACTTCATTGTGAGCCAGGGATAAAGCCAGTAGATCGAAGGCACAGATTAACGTAGCATGTTCTTTTCTGTCTTCCTTATCCTCTGGCCCATTCATTCATCATTGTCTTCCTATGTAATTACTTCTCTGAGTCCTTCTTTCTCTGAGAGCAAAATATCTTTTCCAGGGTGGGATTACAACCTCCCACTTTCTTTCAGCTCTCTTCCTCTCATGCAATAACCTAATACTGTATTCGCCACATATGACTTACTCAAGTCCATATTTAATATTACCATATGATATTATTGGGTTATTCTATGCCATTTATAATCACTGTATATTAAAAGAAGTCTTTAATGGAAACAACAGTTGTACTGGCTAGGACTGAGACAACTACAAGCAAAATTATTCTGTGAGTCTGGGAAAATGGCAACAACATATTCTCATTCAATAAAATGAGTACTTCTAGAAATAATATTTAACCCAATGTTTAACGCAATGACTATAGAAATCATTGGGAGAGGGGCCAAACATTCTCAAATTATTTTACATACAATTCTCTGGTTTTTAACATTGAACTTGAAGAGGAAGAGGTGGTTTCACAGAGTAAAGTCCTGAGATTTACTCTAGGCTTATTGAATAAGAATCTCCTGCAGATGGGGCTTGTGAGTTTGAATATTTTAAAAAAATACCTAGGGAAGCTCAAACACCAAACTTTCAGAAACTGTTGGAGTGAGTTTTGAAGCCAGAAAATTTTGATGAAAATCCTGCCTCTACATTGACTCCCTTCTTTGAGCTTTGGTGTCCTTATCTGAAAAGCGAGATGAATAATATCTACTTTATGAAGTTGTTGTTAGAATTAAATAAAATAATGTACTTTGTGTAAAGTGTCTAGTTTACAGCTAGACATGCAGCATTTGCAAACCCAGTATATGAAATATAAAACAAGTAATCAATTAAAAATATTTTCTATGCATATTAAGAATAAAATTTCTTCTATTTTTATATTATTAAATTAAATCACAATTGGTTCTTATTGATACTTTCTTGTCAACTTTGTGAATCAAAACAATATCACACTGAACTAGAACCAGGAAAACCAAATAGAAAGTTTCTTTGAAAATAAAACTGACTAGTAAAATTATTTGACCAAATAAAGTAGAAAAGATGAGCTACATGAGGAGTGCAGAGATGCATTTTTGTTTTCCTTGGCTGTTTTATTCTTATTGCTGTTAATAACAGTTGGGTGCCTATAATGCATTCGGCCTTGAAAAAGAGCAGAAGTAGAAAGTGCCTTGGCCCACAGGAGGTACATTATTGATCCAGAAAAGGCCTTATTGAAGATGTGAGCCTAACAGAAGAAGACAGATGGTCAGTGGGAGGTAGTTCTAGAATTCTTGGTTAGTAGAAATGGGACAGTGTTGGAAGTGAGAAAAGGGAGAATATGGAATCAGAAAGAATACAGATTCATTCTTTCCAGCACTATAGGCTGCAAAGCCAGACAGAGATGCTGAAGCCATGAGGTAGAAAGTGGCAAATTCAAAAAAGGGCAGAAATATGGACTATTCTAGAATATTTTATTTTAAAGAATGAGAAGGTGTTTACTGAATGAACAATAAGTAAGAGAGTGATTAAGTAAAAGTGAAAATGAATATATTCATAAGTGCAAAATATTGTACTGATGCCCAATTAGCACCTAAATGTATAATATTCTGTGCTCTGTGTGTGTGTGTGTGTGTGTGTGTGTGTGTGTGTGTGCGCGCGCATGTTCATGTGTGTTTGGTGAGGCCTGGATACAAGGATAAATAAGACTTTAGCTCTGACCTCAAGTGTTTGGAATATCAAGAATAATAATAATTCAGGCATGTAGCATTTGAAAACCCAGTATATTAAATATAAAACAAGTCATGGCAATTCAATATTTATCACATTATTAAGCCCAAGAACAACAGGACATATTGGCTTTCCAAAGCATCCATTTCATATTTTTATGTTATGAAATGATAACTCTAATCAATATTGGATTTTATTTCACTTTATTTGGATATTTAGTAACATAAGAAAGCTAGTATAAAATGATTGTCTAAGAAAAATGCCATGTGTTGGCTTGAAGGTCAAATGTATCTTCCTTGCATATCCTGTAACAGCAGCTTCTGCTTCTGCTCTTTAACCAGTCCTCTTGGTGAGAAATGGTTTTCCTAAGGTTTTCAAGGTCTCATTATATGCCAGCCAAATTTGCTGAGCTATAATTTTCTTTCTAGTCACTTAAGGATTTTTTTTAACAAAACTTGGCAGAAACAAGAGTTTCTTAAACTCTTGTTTGTTAAAGAGTTTTAACAAAACTCTCGCAGAAACAGAAAACCAAATACCACACACTCTCACTTATAAGTAGGAGCTAAACACTGAGTACATATGGACATAAAGATGAGAACAATAGATACTGGGGACTATTAGAGAGGGGAGGGTGGGAGGAGAATAAGGGCTGGACAAATTACTATCCTGTGCTGTGCTTACTACCTGGGCAATGGGATCATTCATACACCAAACCTCAGAGACACACAATTTACCCCGTAACAAACCTGCACATGAACTTCCTAAGCCTAAAATAAAAGTTGAAAAAAATAAAAAAAGCGAATTAATTAATTTAAAAAATAATTAATATTGTCTAAAATTGAAGAGGTTGGGCATGATAGCTCGCAACTCTAATCCCAGTGCTTTGGGAGGCTTAGGTGAGAGGATCACTGAGGCTAAGAGTTCCAGCCCAGCCTGGGCAACATAGCAAGGACACTGTCTCTACAAAAATAAAAATAAAAAAAAAAATTAGCCAAGCATGGTGGCCCGTGCCTGTAGTTCTAGCTTTTGGGAGGCTCAGGCAGAGAGTTGGCTTGAGCCCAGGAGTTTGAGGCTGCAGTGAGCCATGATTGCACCACTGCACTCCAGCCTGGCACAATAATAGTGTAAACAGACATTCTATTATTAGAGAATATTTAATAATACTCTTTAAAATGATAAATAAAATTTATTGGCAACCTGCTATATGACAGAAACTGTGATAAGCACTTTATTAATTTCATTTACATTTCCCAACAATCCTATGAGATAGATAATGACATGGTTTGGATCTATGTCCCCACCCAAATCTCACCTTGACTTGTAATAATCCCCACATGTCAAGGGTAGTACCTGGTGGGAGGTAATTGAACCATGGGGGTGGTTTCACCCATGCTGTTCTTGTGATAGTGAGTGAGCTCTCACAAGATTTGACAGTTTTATAAGAATCTGGCATTTCCTCTGCTTGTGCTCATTCTCTCTCCTGCCACCCTGTGAAGATATGCCTTCCACCATGATTGTAAGTTTCCTGAAACCTCCCCAGCCATGCAGAACTGTGAGTCAATTAAACCTCTTTTCTTTATGAGTTACCCAGTCTCAGATATTTCTTCATAGCAGTGTGAAAATGGACTAATACCGATATTGCCTTGATTTTACAGATGAGGAAAACTGAGGCACAGAGCGGTTAAGTAAATGACCAGGTTGTAGAGACATATTGCTTCTTTTTATCCAATTTCAAACTTTAAAAATACAAATGCTTGGTTGAAAATGTCATATTCTAGAGCAAAAAGGGCCACACTTATTTTTATCCTCTGGATAGTCTTTTCAAAATTTACCAGATAAAAGAGAGGGATATAATAAAAAGTGAAATGTAATCCCCTTTGACACTCTAAGAGAAATGAGTAATATATATATTGTGTTTCTTTAGGAAATCAGAAATACATTTTATTTTTAACTGTAATTATTCAGCAAAGGTAGAGCCATACGTCTCTTAGGATACCTCTCTCTAACAAAAGCAGAGAGAATATCTGAGTTTGACATTTTCATTTTCTCGGAGCCAATATACCAAGGAAGAATAGGAAGACCGGCAGAGAGCTGCCCAACGAAAGTGATGGTGGTGACAGCAGCAGATGGAAAGCAAACCATTGGCGTAATAGAAATAATCAGATATCATCCTACAGCTGGGAAATCAGCAAGAAATGAAGATCAGGCTTTCTCCTCATTAAATCTGTAATTAAGGCTTCACTCTGCTTTGTTGAAATCCTGCTGTGTTGGTGGGTAATACCCTCTCTGTACGAGGGTGAGGGAACCCCTACAAATGTCAGAGTGATAAGTTAATCAAAGGGTTATGTTGAGCAAGTTTGGTAAGAGATTTGGATGGAATGACAAATACCAATGAAATAATTCAATTTCCACATGCCTATCCCAATCTGATGTGGAACTTGAAGGATATGGAAAAACATTCAGGAGTCTGTGTTTGCCAATCTGATATGGAACTTGAAGGATATGGAAAAACATTCAGGAGTCTGTGTTTGCCAATCTGAATTTTGATGGCAGGAATAAAAATCAGAATCTATGTTGCAGGCTGAATAGATATAATTCTCTGGAATATATGAAAATAATAAACTATTTAATTTGCATTAGATCCTGGATTAAGACTGTAAGAAGTACCAAAAGTCAGATCTGTGGCATATTCTACAAAGAATTTAAATTTGACAGAGGCAATCCAAGATGATTTACAGAAAAGAATTCTTACTGTGTCACATCAGCATTTGAATGTGAGGCACATATCCAAATATTGCCAGACTTATTTAAAAGTCCAATCATGATCTGTCATTGATGAGTTTACATAAACACATTTAATTGTTATTATCATACCAGCTTATACAATCTCTTGAGGTTGAGGTAAGAGTATGATACCAAAAAGTTTAATTTTGGCATAGTTACCTTTTCTATTTATAGATCCATAAATTTCCTCTTTCAGACTTAAGAAACTTGCCTGGCTCTCTTTTACCTGAAATTTAATGTACCCACACTGACCTTTCATAACTTGGTAAACTAGAATTATAGCCCGCTGAGTTTTTCTCAATTGGAAAATACTCAAAATAACCTGTTGAATAAAATCCAACTGGTTTCTTGGATAACTTTCGGTATTGTTTTCAAAATCACAATGTATTATTCTGGTCTTCATAAAAGGGAAAAAAGTGACACGTAATGGGTTACATGTAAATGAGATATGAAACTCAAATGTCTAAAGCAACTATAATACAGAAGACACTATCTTGAGAGAAGAAAGAAAATAGGGGGCCTATAGCCTTTTGTTTTGTTTTTATAGCTTAGACATAGACTTGAAATTCTCACATACAGCTAGTTTCTAAATTCTGTCAATACAAGATTCTCAAAGAAATATGGGCTCGTCTCACTTTGCTATAGAGTAGAAAGACCCAAGAAACAGAAGGTCTGGACTTGGACCATGAACCTGGCACTCAACTATGCTCAGTGATAAATCCTCTGAAACCATTTCTTCACACAACAAATGGAGATAAAGATAATACCAAACATAACATTTATGAAAGTGTTTTGTAAATGGTTAGAGACTACACAAATATTAGCTAGCTGGTGCAGTTTTAGGGCCTAACACATTCCTAATCTTTACCCTTACAAATTTCCATTGCCAAATACCAGGCCCCCATGACCACTTAAGGTTTTCATGAGCCCAGAAACCAGGAATGACTCCATTGCATTTTAGAAAAAGTATTTTTTCAGGAGGCAGATAACCAAACAGTTCAGCATCATTATTGTGCCATTTCATGAAAACTTTCAGCTTTAGGATATCTAGCTTTTAACCCATGCTCCAGAGCAAGGCTTCTCAAAATTTAGTGTGTATCCAAGTCACTAGAGGGGAATATCCTTAAATACAGAACCTACTATCAAAAGTTTGGAGTGGGGATTGAGATTGTGCATTGCTAAAAGGTGCCATGTGATGTTAATGCTGCTGGTCTTTTGGCCACACTTTGAGTGGCAAAGCTCTAGACCTTCTGGAGGTACATTCTCCAATGTGGTAGCCAATAGTCACATATAGCTATTTACATTTAAATATAATTAATAACATTAAAATTCATTTCTTTTGGTCAGGCATGGTGGCTTATGTCTGTAATCCCAGCACTTTGGGAGGATATGGTGGGAGGATTGCTTGAGACCAGAAGTTCAAGACCAGCCTGGGCAACATAGTGAGACCCCCATCTCTTTAAAAAAGTAATCATTTCTTTTGTTGCACTAGCCACACTTCGAATGTTCACTAGGCCATGTGGCTCGTGGCTACCACACTGGACGTCAGACATAGAACATTTTCTTCACTGCAGAAAGTTCTACTGGAGCACAGCAGCAATACTCAAAGTGGAAAAATTGCCTTGACCTAATTGGTTTCTTCTCATCTCTGTGGGTTCTAAAATCGTATCTTCATGTGTCTTCTAGGCATTAATGGTTTAATCTACTGTAGCCTTTACATATAAGAGTGATATAAATGACCTCACCATGACACACTGTTGGGGCTGTGAAGACCGGAGGAATATGAGTTTTCTGTGAGTCTGAGCTTTTAGACAAACAAGAGAAACTGAATGTCAATTCCCTATCAGCAGGAAGAAGAGGGTCCAATGATGCCCAATGAGAGAATGACTAAGAGCCAGCCTTGCTCCTCTCGAGGGAAGAGTGAAGTGATATTAATCAGCGCACTATTGTGCACAAAGAGTGTTCTCTCAGGAGAAGAGCAGCACATCTGTCCCACTCACACATCAAAGAGGCCCAGCAGCTGAAAATGCTTGTGTCAAATCTCCACTCAGCCTCTTTTTCTCCTTGCTTTCCTTTCCTGGTTCATTTGCTATTCTGTGGGCTGTTTAGCAGTAAACCCTTCATCTGATTAACATTTCAAACCCATTGTTGGTCTGTGCTGGCTTAAATGAACTAATCATCATTAGTACTTCAAAACCTGTCTGGCTATGCCTGCAAGGGGGAAAAAAAGGAGGAAGAGAAGAAAAGGAAAAGGAAACAAGCCTGACTCATTAAATAAGTCATCCATAAGTAGCTGGCCAAGATTGAAACAAAAGCAGAATCCTGAGTATTTTAATCACTAAGCAAGTCATGGACATGACTCAGAGCTAAAAGGCATAAATGGGACCTTAGGCGATGACGGAACAGAGGCATCTTCCTCTGGAAGAGGAGGGAAGGAAGCCTGGGGCCCCATCCATTTCCTTTGCTCTGATTCCCTTTCCCCTGGAAAATACCAGTTTACGAAGCAAAACTTGTTGCAGAAGCCATTTATTTTCTATTCTTTCTGCTTTATCCATTTTGACAGAATTATATTCCTGAAAGTAGTTGAGGTCGGTCATCTTTCTGATTTTCAGTGATATCGCCATACTTTTAACCCATGATCTGCATCATATTATATATAATGTGTTTAAACCTATTACCTTATTGGACCAGGTAAACCATTAGCTTGGCTTAACCTAAAATTACAAGAGGAGCTTTTTTCCCCTAAATCAGACTCTCCTAGGAAGCCTATCCATTGTTTATTTTACTTCATACTAAAGTTTTCGTCATGATTCCTATAATTCTGATAACGAAAAAAGGAAAGAATACATCCAGACCATTTTTTGTGCTTGTCTGCAAGACACAGTGACATTTTAAAAGAACGTTCTAGATTTAAAAAGGTTAATTTCAAGCTTAAACAATAACTTTTTATGGCTTTTCTTGTGAAATCAACATTTCCCACAGATGACTGAGTCCCTGCAGTCTAGAAGTATAATTCCTAAACCGTAATATGTGTAAGAGAGATGACTGGTGCAATATCACAGACTTACATATTATTAAATTATATAGTGTGCACCATTTCTCTTTTCGATTCTCTTCCAATCCTATGATCAAGTCAAGAAAAAAGTCTCTCTTGGTACCTCTGCATTGAATACTACTTCTACCTGTCAATTCCCATTTTAACAAGCAAAGCAGCCCTTAAACTCAGAGTCTTCTGAGGGAAATTGTGTCTAGTTAAAAATAAGTAATATTTTGTTTCCATTGCATCAATTATTTTTAACATTTTTTCATTTATTTATGGCACCTTAGACTGGTTTTTCTATTCATGGTAGCAATAAAATGTTTCTTAGGAATACATTTAAGTAAAAAAGTAGTCTTTAAAGAAAAATATTAACATTATAATAAAGCATGTGGATATGGAACAAATCATGAATAGCCCGGATTTGGAGCACTCTTTTTATTTGAGGGGTGAGAAAGAAAAAAGTGGTGTTGTTCCTTTGCTGTCAGCCACCTATGTACATAGCAGGTTTGATTTCTCCATCAAAAACTGTATTCATGACAATTTCGGGACAATGTTTCATAGAAACTGCAAGTGGGAAGATGAGGGAGGAACTGTCTAACTTTTTTATAGAATGATTATTTGGGGCTGAAAAAAGTCCCAGGGAACACACAGGTGGCTGAGCGGCAGGAAACGATGAAGCGCAAATGCATCCACAGCAGAAGGGTGTGCTTAAGGATCAGCAGGGAAAATTTGAGAAAATAGTTCCCATCCATTCTAGCTTGCTTGGCTTCAGTATGGTAAGTTGCTCAGAGTTTGTTACAAGTTTTCCCAAAGGTGAATTTTTAAGTATCTTCTTGCAATCTTGAGGAAGGAAGTAGAAACACAAGATTTGCTCACTATGTTTCAAATCAGTGTCACTGTCATTTTTTGACAAATGGGACCAAATTTATTCTAAGCAGCAAATATTCTGGAGGTCTCTATCATTAATTACCCTGTTATGATCTCAAAATATTAGCTCTCACATGCTAATATGTTTTAGATAAAACCCTTTGCCAGTGCTTAATGAATAAACATTTATTGCACCCCTATTATTCATGAGGCAGTTTATGTTTGTTGTGGCAAGGATGCGATGTGGTATCTCGACACTCAAAGTGTGATTTGTGGACAAGCAGCCCCAGTATCACCTGGAAACTTGTTAGAAGTGTAGTATCTCAGGCTCCACCCCAGACCTACTGAATGAGAATCTGAGATGATTCATATGTACATAAATGTTTGGTAAAACCTGTTATGAAATATAGACTCTCCTCAAATAACTACATAGTCCAGCTTTGAAATAATACTTATACTAATATAACGAAGCAACAAGTGATAGTAATTAGTATAAGTGGTATAATCCAAATTTAGACAAGATAATGATATTCAAAAATCGTTGAAGAAATAAGAAAGGAACCATGTCTAAAAATCTATCCAGAATTTGAGGATAGAAGCAAGCCCCCACCTTGGAATGTGGATGAATTTTAGAAAAAGGGAAGATAGAACTATACATACCTCTTAAATATGCACAGAGAAAACCTGCTTGATTACAGTGAGGAATACATGCTGGGGACTTGTGGTAAATCAAACTCAGTGAAAAGTGCAGGTCAGTTTTGGTAAACAGAGAAGTTCACTTTTTAATAGCACAGGAAATATATGCCATCTTTGAAGACATGCAGACAAGGGAGTCACAAAAGTAGAATAAATGTCAGTGTTTGCAAGATTGAGTTGGTTAAACTGTATGTGTGGAATGATTCCTCTAGCCCTGCAGTGGATAAGATGAATTACAGGGGGGAAAGCCAGGATTCTAGAGGCTATAAATACCCTTGGTGTGGGATCAGATGCCTTGAATAATGTCTATTTAGCAGAAGATAGTCAAAGGCCCTAAAAACAATAATTACATGTAAGAGACTAATATAGTCAAACTACTGTATCACAATGACTGTGCTGATTTGAATTTGCCTCAATTAGGGAGCTCTTTCATTGAAATAAAGTTTCTAAAAATGTTACTTAATGGCATTACTACACTTCTACTCAATTCATTCAGCTGAAACCCATGTGCTTGTTATGTATCCTTTTATTTCTATGTTCTGTTGTAGAATAATAACAACAAAAATGAGTATAAACCACTGCATTTTAAGTCAGGAAGTAACTTTTCTTCAAATGAGGCAGCAGGTTGTGTCTGCAAAACCTTTAGCTGTAGAGCTACGCTTGTAATTGAAACCTCGGCTATAGCACTTTCTGGTAGGGCACTGGTGCTACACAACACTGATCAGTGGCTTAACTTCCCTGATCCTCACTTTCTTTATCTGTAAATTAAAGTGAATATAACTCATTTCACAGGGCTGTTGGCGCAAGACCTGACACATAGTTGAATCTTTAATATCTGTGCTGTTATTAACATCTCGATCATCATCATACTTATAATCGTCATCACCATGATAACTGACTCGATTAAGGATTCAAACCTAAGACATACATGTTCTCAAGTTTGAAAGTATGGCTCTGATTTTACACCAGACCAAATTTTGATATAGTGGTCCCGTAGTTAAGCCAGAGGACTTTCCAACAAAGAAGAAAAACAAGCCAGTGTTTTGTTTGCTTTGTTTTGAGATGGAGTCTTGCTCTGTCGCCCAGGCTGGAGTGCAGTCGCGCTATCTTGACTCACCGCAACCTCCGACTCCGGGGATCAAGTGATTCTCCTGACTCAGCCTACCGGGTAGCTGGGACTACAGGCGCATGCCACCACGCCCGGCTAATTTTTTTTGTATTTTTAGTAGAGATGGAGTTTCACCGTGTTAGCCAGGATGGTCTAGATCTCCTGAACTCGTGATCTGCCCGACTCGGCCTCCCAAACTGCTGGGATTACGGGCGTGAGCCACCACGCCCGGCCAAGCCCGTGTTTTATTGAAGCTGCACAGTGGTTCTCTATAAATATAAAACTGCACTTAGTGACCAGCAATGTGTTGATATGGGAATTCAACGTGAGAAAGGCTAGGGAACCTGAAATCCCCTTCCCTGACTTTTTATTCCTAAGTTAGGTCTGATTCTGTGAGTTCCAGTTCGCCTTTACCCAGCCAGTTTTCTGGCTGATCTCAGCCTTCCTCTTCTGCTACCTCCTCTCTAATCCTAAGTGTGGCTAAAGCTACAAGCAAAGCCCTCCACATCACTTCACTTTCCTCCCCTAATACTAGATCAAACTGCCCACCAAAATATTATTTCTTCTGAAGAAAGGAGAAATTCAAGAACGAAAGCACCTGAGTCACAACTGCATAAACTTTTCTTAAGCCCCAGGAAGTCTAGCACTTTCTAGTTGTTAACAACTCTCCAGGGGTTATTGATAGAGCTTCCCTGGAGGAACTAAAAGAGGCTTTGACTAACAGTGATGATTGCCTTGGATCAAGTTCGTTTCTAATCTTTTCCCAGCACTCCTGGTAGTTAAAAGCATGCAGGTATGTCTTCATTTGAAAAATAAATAGTATGTTCCTAATTCATTTATAATTGAACTAGTTTTTATTTGAGAGTCATCAGGTGTGGTTCCTACAGTTAGTAGGAAAGACTTGAGTCTACTTTACCGACATATTCAGGATTTAATCCACAGCATAGATTCTTGTAGTGACAAGAACTGTTCCAGAGCCTAGAGGAATCTCTTCACTGCTCATGAGTTAACATTCACACACTATAGAGAACCAAAGAGCCTAAGATAACTGCTTGAACATGTCCAAATTTCTCATTTTCCAGTGGGGAAAGAGACCCCTGAAACCATTTAACCAAATTAAGTCAGGGCCAAAACCATCTTTGTCTACATCAGTAATTCTCAAAGGTTGTATCAGAAACATGGGAAGAGCTTGTTAAAATAGATTGCTGTGCTCTACCCTAGAATTTCTGATTCAGTAGATAAGGGGTGTGGTCTGAGAATTTGCAAGTTCTCAGTTGATGCTGATGTTTTTGGCCTAGGAATCATACATTGAAAATCACTGCTGTATATTACATTGCCTCTCAACCATGCAGAAACAGAATGTTCACTAATTTTTAATATTCATATTAAGTATTGTACTTGCTATTTGTTAGGGGAAAAACAATTTTGAAAAACTGTCCAGTGTAGTGACTCTGATGAAATTTCAAAAAAAAAAAAAAACAAAGAAAACTGGATTATATATAAAGTTTTATTATCATCATCTCTCCTTTTCCCAGCCCACTCACTTGTCATTATTTTAAGAAAATTATTTCTTCTACGTACTTACTGGCATGTTTTTAGCTCCATTTTGGGTTGTAAGGAATATATTCAATGATAAATGAAACTAAACTAAAAGTCATTGTTGCTCTCTTTAAAAGAAGATGGTTTTTATTAAAAAGGAACAGTTTTATTGAAAATATTAGTGTGAACTTTTCCACAGTATTTTGCATGAAAAGGAAATGGTGTTTAAAACAAGTATTTTTTGGAAAATTAAAAGGCTTTGATGGGGGATGAGGAAAAAAGAAAAGGAAAGGAAGACAGCTTGTGTTTTGAGCACCTACTGTGTGTTTGGCACCAGAGAGGCGCCTCCATATAATTTCAAATGAATATTCAATCAATCTGCATGTTCCTGGTGCAGCTTCTTGCATTTTTCTTTTTGTGCTAAAGGACAGTTTATACCCTCTACCATGCCCCCTCCCCATATGCATTCGTAGTTACACCCTTATCAATGACACTGATACAATATGTATAATCTGTATACTATGTCAATTACTTTTTATAGTAAGCCTTTGTTCATGTGATAGATATAAGATTTTTTAGAAGCTGGAAGCCATCATTCTCAGCAAACTAACACAGGATCAGAAAACCAAACACCGCGTGTTCTCACTCATAAGTGGGAGTTGAACCATGAGAACACATGGACACGAGGAGGGGAACATCACATACCGGGGCCTGTCAGGGGGGTTGGGGGCAAAAGGAGGGAGAGCATTAGGACAAATACCTAATACATGTGGGGCTCAAAACCTAGCTGGCAGGTTGATAGGTGCAGCAAATGACCGTGGTACATGTATACCTATGTAACAAACTTGCGCGTTCTGCACATGTATCCCAGAACTTTAAAAAAAAAGATTGACAATCCTAAAAAAAAAAAGATGTTTACAGTTAAGTGTTCAAAAATAGGCAATTCACTCTAGGTCACATTGCTATTGAATGCTATTGAATGGTAAAGGTGGAACTGTAACACAAATTTGCTTGATTCTAAATTTACTGAGGGAACTAAAAAAGATTTTGTTTTTCCTTTTATGCTGGACACTACACATGAGACTTTACTTACAAAAAATTAATACATAAATACAGAACATAGATCAAAGAAAAGGTCTGGGACATGCAGCTCTGAAGTGTATTTCTTCCTTCTTCTCTCTCTCTCACCACAGTCCTTCACTCTTTCTGTATGGCCCTAAGATTTGACTTGCTAGGACAGAGGCAGGAGAGGGGCAAAATAAAAGTTCAGGAGGGGAGGGGTGTGTCCTTGCTTGCTGCCCTGCAAATCCCCTAAGAGTGGTTTCTGGGCACTGCCACAGCCTCTAGAGAGCTGGTTGTAGTCCCAGATGCATTTCTCTGAATATCATGAGTTTCCTTTTCATTCTTTGAGTGGGTCAGCACAAAGAAAAGCAAACAAACCTAAATTACTCTTATTAAATGGCAGGCTGCCAAAAATCTGAGAAAGCACACAGCAACACAATATCTGAAGTCTAAAGGGAGAATTCCAAGCCAAGATTAGCATCTCACCCGGCTATCCAGCCAATCAGCCTCAGGGTTTCCACTCTCAGACACGTGACCATTTTACTGGGACATTCAGAAGTCATCTTGCAGATGTTCCAGGTGCAGATTGAAAGCAGTTGCTTGTATTTCTATTTTGGTGCTTAAGGGCAGTTTATACAGTTTGTACTATTCCCTCTTCCCCACTGCCATCCCCATATGTAGACATAGAGACCTGAACCTGTATAACATGCAATATTAATAAAAGAGTATCCTTCCCTGAGGAACTTGGTGCATTTGTTTTCTCCTTGTTTTTGCAAGGAAAACTAATGCAGGGGAGAAAAAAATTCAATATCAGAAATAGCACGTAGGCACCCACGAGAAGAAACCTGCTCAGGTGTTTGACATAAGAGCTCTTTCGAGAAGCAGTGTCTGATCGTGGAGTGGCATTTCCTCTTGATTCTTATGGAGTCTGGTATAACTTTGCTGTTGGCTACTGAATTGAGTTCTAAATTGAATTAATTTACTTTTGACACTGCCAGCACGGCACAGCGTGAGATGAAGCAGATGCTGCGTTAAGTGTAACATTATGAGTTCCTGGGTCTAATATCTTCTAAATAAGGAATGTTGCTGTGGATATAAAGGAAATTTTATTTGCGTTTGCTCAGAACTTATGCAGGCCAAAACTAGGTTCAGAATTTATTAAGTTAAATGATGGACTGAAGAGAAACCTAGTTAGGGTTATGCGAATATTACCCGGAACTTTTACATCTGTAAGTTCAAAGTAGTATAGATCTGAAAAGATGTGGACTAGAGGAGGAAGGGCCCAGTGATTCCATCATGCTTATAACTGGCATAAGTGACCATAAACCACAAGGAGTAGGATAACAGCTGAGAGCCAATCAGCTTGGCACTGAAGACTGACAGATTGGCCAGATGGCAAACCTCATTCAAGTGGATGTCATATTTTGATTGGGATTATCTCTCAATACCCTCAATAACTGTTTAAATTCTATAACAGAGACAAATCATTGCAGTATACCTACATTTGCCTTTCCCCTTCCAGAAATTATATAATAAATCTCTCAGGCAGAAGCATTTTATTTATTGTCAGTAGAGAGTTTATAATCTATGGTCAAAGTAGCATAGTAATGCTTAAAAACTATCTTCCAGATGAGAATTCTAGCACATTAGCTTATGAAATCTTTTTATTTGTTATCTACAATTGTCATTCTATAAATTGTTATCACCTTTCTCCTTAGATTGCAATTATAGGTCATGGTTTTGTCTTTTATTTTTCTCATGGTCTTTTAGAAACTAAATTTTCACTACATTTTACTGTGTCAATTGAATTAAGTCTATAAATTCAGCAAACAAGATATGAGTGAATAGCTACCATATGCTAGGGGATGGGAATGTAAAGAAAAAGAAACACATTTATTGGTCATTATTCAACTTGAACTCTTAGTTTCAAGACCAAAATTAGTCATCCTATCCTTAGTCCAACTCTAACTATTATGTTTCATTTGCTGTTATTTTTGAAGCAATGCTGTCTCTAAAGTTAGACTAGTCTCCTCACTCCCCTCAAAGAACACTGTTAATTATTTAATTCTCCTCTCCTGCTCTGCCTTGAACACCTGCTCCTACCTATGTGTTTCAGTCAGGGTGGACTAGGTTATCTTATAGTAATGAATGACTCCCAAATATCAATGTCTTTACCACAACAAAGGTTTATTTCTTCTCTTGCTACAAGCCTACTATGGGTTGGCTCTGGTTCTGTTTCACAGTGAATCCTTTATCTGAACACTGCCAGTTGTGTGGAAGAAGGAAAATAACCATAACTAAGCAAACACTGATCCTCTAGGTTCTTTCCTGGAAATGGCACACCTTCCATTGGCCCGGAGCCAAACATGTGGCCAAGCCTCAAGCCAATAGGCTAGTGAAATATAATCTTCTCCAGGGAAGGGTAGTGAATATTTGATGTCCACAATACAGTCTATTCCTCTAAACCAGTCTTACTCATCTGGCAGCTCTCAGCCCAAGGTCCCCTATTACATTTTCTCATTGCAGTTCTTACTAACTTTTCTAATGTTCTTCATCAAGGTTTATCTATATTACACATACAAGCATTTATATGTAATATAGTATCTTGCAATATTTTAAAATACTTCATTTTTTTCTGTGCATTTGTCTTTTCTACTCAGCTGGAAGTTATTTGAAACCAGAAACCATGTTTGAAATTTTTTTCTGGCACATACACGGTTTACAGAACTCACAGACAGTTGTATATTTCAGGGACTTTAGTAGCCTTAAGTATTCTCTGTTGATTGGCCCCCAAAATAAATCATCCTATGCATGTGCTGGTTTTCAATCAAAGCAAGTAAAAACAAGGCCCTGCCCTCTGCAAGGACATTAAAACTGGGTACTTGTAATATAACTTCCTTTTAGAACACACATGAAAACCATGTTAGATATAGTATTACCACAAAACATACAAAAATGTATTTGATATTATATAGAAAAGTAAAGGTTGTCATCATTTTTAGAAACAGAATGTTTAGGTCACTTTTCGAGACTACATTAAGATAAGCTAGGAAAAATACAAAGTAATCCAAACGATCTAGCTAAAGATTAGGCTGAAGATACCTCATTAAAATGACTAAAGAAATAACAGATTTAGCCTACATCTAATGTTAGAGAAAAATTCTCCATGCACATGTGTCTTACATTAGATCCAATGTTGTATTTGTCAAAATATTCTATTTTCTGCGATGTTCCTGCTTATAATTATAGAGGAACCAGATGCATGACCTTGTATAACATTTACTTTGTAACAAGTGCTTGGAGGATAAATAAAATAATTTGTTTGGCAGTTGTGGTATTGAAGGGGGAATACAGTAGAATCTAATATAGACGTGTTAACCATGTATGATTCAGAGAGGATGTACAATTCGGAAATGCAAACATCAGCAGGCAGATATGTAACAACATCAGGATTATAAGAAGCCACTTAATAACAACTAACCAAGTACATCACATGTATTTAGCTCCTTGAAATCATTTCATTAGTCTGAAAATTAAGCATATGCTGCTTCTGAGGGGAGGAACAAGGAAGACTGGTTTGCTCAGGAGATTGGTAAATGCATGCAAAGCTATTTATCTTGAGATTATAGGTCTGGCTTCAACCAAGAAGCTAAAGACAGTTATTGCTACTTTATGGCCCATATGAAATGAACCGTCATTATCAGTTTAGATGCTCATTTCAGCAGGCTGTCACCACAGTATGGGTTTGGATAACCCTAATGGATATGTGGACAAACGTCTGTTTGGAGAGATAGCATATTGAAAAGAGCCCTTGGCTGAGAATCAGGGGGATTGGAGTCTAGTTCCAATTCTGCCTCTAATAATAAGTAACATGAGAATCTCCTTTCTGGGAAGGGAGCAGGGAGATAGAGAAGGGTCAGATGACCTCCAAAATCTCATCTGGACCTGAAGCTAGATAATATCCTGTGAAGGAAAGCTCCTTTTGGCTCTTCACAATAGAAACTTTCTCCTTATCTTCCCCAAAGTTATTACCCAAATAATGACTGGCCTTGATTTTGGATTTCAGTCTAGATCTATTTTCCCCTCTGATAAAGGGATAGGATGCCATCTTCCTCTCCCTTTCTTCTTCAGATGTGCAACATCTAAATTATCCCTCAATCTAGAACAGATTCTTAGCCCTAGTTATATGGCTTGTTTGCCTCTTTAAACTCTTTTGTCTTCATGATATGCCACCACCTATCACAGAGTGTCAGAAAATTGCCTAAAGAAAATTAGGTTCACATACATTTTTAAGCAAATATGCTATATATTTTAATGTGATACTTTTACTTTTTTAAGGCAAATAGGCTGAGATGAGTTCTGGGTCCCTGTAATGCTGAGATGTCCACAGCTCTTTCAGACTCAAAACTATTGATAAAGAACAGCTGCCAGGCCAGAATTGTGCATCTGTAGCCTGATTACCTACAACCCACCTGTAGTGTTCCGGTTCCTTGGTTATTTCTTGCTGCTTTCAGTGAAAGCCTAAAGCTGCATGTTTCTTTGTGAGAAAGGACGACATGAATTGCAGATGATGGAAAAGAAGATGATGTTTACATTTGCCTGGTTATGTTTTTCTTTTATTTTCTCATTTGAAACTTGGAGTTTGGGGGCCTAAGAAAAGTGAAACCGACACTAAAGGCTTAGATCAAAACTGGCATCATGCCACCAAGTTAGAAGTGTTAAGGAAACAACATTCACAGGTGACAGATGGAGGGAATGAGAACTAACACTCAGAGGCAGCCATGGCGATGGTGCTGTGCTCTCTCCACCTACATTAGGTCTTTTAGTCTTCATGGCCTGGCAGATGAAGAAACTGAGGTCCGCAAAGTTTAGGTCACTTGTTCAAGTTACACAGCAGGGATGGGGCCAGATTTGTCCTTCAGCATCCTACCTCTGGAGCTGATTCTATTAACCATTAAGCGCTACTGCCTTGTAAACCTGTGTGCAGGGGCTGGTGGGAGGATCAGGCTTCATTTCTATATCTATCTGGCTTCAAAACTCACTAGTTCAAGCTTCCTTCCAACAATGAAGAAATGACAGTGATTGGGTGTGGAATAACAATAAATGCCAGCCAAATTCCTCCTCCTGGCATGCTCTACCCTATACCCAGAACTGTTGAGCTGCCTCTGATGTTTCTTCCTGTATTCTGAAGGGGAAAACAGTCCTGCTTGGGAAAACTCACTGAACAGGCAAAATCATTTTCTAAAGATTTAGTGGAGGTGGATGTTTGTTTGTTGGAGATTTAGTGGAGGTGGATGTTTGTTTGTTGGTTTATTTGTTTGTTGAGACAGGGTCTCTCTCTGTCATGCAGGCTGGAGTGCAGTGGTGCAAGTATAGCTCACTGCAGGCTCAATCTCCAGAGGTTAAGCGATCCTCCCACCTCAGCCACTGGAGTAGCTGGGACTAGAGGCACTTGCCACCATGCTTGGATTTCTTTTTTTTCTTTTTTTTTTTTTTTTTAAGTAGAGACAAAATCATTCTATGTTGCCCAGGCTGGTCTTAAAGTCCTGAGCTCAAGCAATCATTCTGCCTCAGCCTCCCGAAGTGCTGGGATTAGAGGCATAAGTTGCCACACCTAGCGGGTAGATAGATGTTTGGAAGGTTGGGTCTCATCCTAGCTTTGCCAGTTACCAGGTGTTTGGCCTTGTCTATGCCACTCAGTGTAGATGAGTTTGATTCCACAGTTGTAAAATGAAAACACCAAGCATAATTTATTGTTTTTCAAATTTTTCTCCAAAGCAATAGAATCCATTGTTTCAATGATATTTTAAGCCCAACCTCAACATATGAAACAAATGCAGTGATTTTGTCTGGGTGACACAGGATTCACTCCCACCCCTCATTCCACCCCAGGTCAAAAAAGAAGCTGGAAACTTCTTACTGCACAGGAACAAACACCTAGTTTAGTTCCATTAGGTGGTCTCACAGCCCCTTCACAACCTTAATAGCCAATGACAGTTCTAAAATTGCAAATTGCTTTGAACAATATCAGGTAATCTCCTTTTTTTTTTTTTTTCAGACAGGATCTCACTCAGTCACCCATGCTGGAGTGCAGTGGTGGGATCTTGGCTCACTGCACCTCCACTTCCCTGGCTCAAGTGATCTTCCCACTTCAGCCTCCCAAGTAGCTGGGACCACAGGCATATGCCACCATGCCCAGCTAATTTTTGCATTTTTTGTAGAGATGGGGTCTTGCTGTGTTGCCCAGGCTAGTCTCCAAATCTGGATCTTAAGTGATCCACCGTCTTGGCCTCCCAAAGTGCTGGGATTATAGGCATGAGCCATCCCACCTGGCCTCATCTATGATTTTTAATACAACATTTACTGTCTTCTTCAAGCAGTTCTAGTCATAAACGTTACAATTAGTCTCCTTCAAATTACAGATGTGACTTATTTAGTTTTAAACACACCAAGACATGCAGCACTTTAGATAGATTTACTCTTCAGTTCAGAGGAAAGAAGAACTGGACTTTGATCCATTACCACTGTGCCAGGAATTGATTTTAGGGAAGGATATGTGATTATGGGATAGAATGTGAATGGGGGCCGTTTGGGCCGACCTAGACTCTGATTCTCCATTTGTGTGTGGTGCGGCATGAGTGACGCGGGGCGTGAGGAGTGCTTCATAAGATGTAAAAAGAACTGATTGATTTATCGATCTAAGGAAGACAGTCTCCTTGACGGAGACATGCAGTCAAACAGTGGCAGGATGCACTGCTAAAAGCCCTCCAGATTGATTACCCTACCTGGCACCTGATCCCTCATCACTGTGGCAGGTGAAGAGTTCTGGAAATGTACTCACAGCTGCATTAATAAGATAGGAGGCGAACAAACAAGGAAACGTGGGTCAGGCAAGGTTCTGACAGAGGAAAGGGTTTTCCACTGCTCTGAATTCCCTCAAAATGGAAAGTCTCTCAAACCGTGTGAAACACACAGGCTGAAAATGAGACAAAATAGCTAATCGAGCTGAAAATGCGTGTGGCAGCAATGACACCTCTGGGTTCTGAAGTTCTGTGATTTGGTTTTCCCATCTGTTACTGCTTCTAAAATTTGACAATTCCTGTTTGAATACTTATGTAATTAGAAAATGCTTTGGAAATAGTGTACTAAACGACACACCTGGTATAATTTGCAAAACACTTCTTTTAACCATGCTAGAGAATCTCCACACACAAACATCGTGCATCCTACCATGTGGATCAATAAGAAAACTTAAAAGCCACACATATATGCATCACAGAAGTGATCTTTATACACACACTCTTAGCAAGTCATTGCCAAAGATCAAACGCCAGGTGATAATCAGGGAAGGCATCTAGCTAAGACTGGACAAAAATAGTACGGGTAAATAAGTCAATTATAATGCTGTTGAAAGAAGATATTGATGTTATCACTTTTTCAGATGACTGGTGTTGTCTGTGACAGGTAGAGTCACACCCTTTTAAAAGGAGACTGTTCAAAGCCTTGACGTGTTAAAAGAGAAATTAGTCTGCACCAAATCCTGAAAGAAAATGAGAGTTTTGGCATAATGTGTATTTGTTTAAAAGGATGAAAGTTGTAGCTACAGATGTGAAGCATTAAAAATGTTATTTCAGAATTTCTAGCACTAAAATTTAAACTGTAGAATTTAGGAAATCAGAGCTAGAGAGACTAGAGAATTCTCTATCCCCTTATTTTACCTATGAAAGTTTTCTGATAGGTAAGTAAGCCCCAGATATGTTAAAGAATTTGCACAAGTCCCACCATATGTCAGTGAAGAAGGAGATGGGATTTGAACCCAGTCTCCTGATTTCTCCGCTATATTATGAATGTATATTCAACCTCTTCCCTTTTCTTAGATATTCCTATCACTTTTTAAATATGCTTGTCTTCCTCATTAATTATTATAACAATAACAACAGCAGCAGTAATAACAATACTAATAGACAAAAATCCACTCCGTGGCCACAATATCACTTTCTTCTTTTGCGTTTTTTTTTTTTTTTTTTTTTTTTTTTTTTTTTTTGAGAAGGGCTCTCGCTCTGTCGCCCAGGCTGGAGTCCAGTGGCGCGATCTCTGCTCACTGCAATCTCCGCCTCCCAGATTCACGCCATTCTCCTGCCTCAGCCTCCCGAGTAGCTGGGACTACAGGCGCCCGCCATCACGCCCGGCTAATTTTTTTGTATTTTTAGTAGAGACAGGGTTTCACCGTCTTAGCCAGGATGGTCTCGATCTTCTGACCTCGTGATCCGCCCGCCTCAGCCTCCCAAAGTGCTGGGATTACAGGCATGAGCCACTACGCCCGGCCTCTTTTGCTTTTAAAGTCTACTTACATAATTAACTAGCTAGTCAGAACCCAATTGAAATAGGCCTCTGTTCTCACCTGGGAGATGATAACGTCACAGATGGACACCCACCATCATCCTAGAAAATGTACCCTAACTTTCAGTGTGGTACCACAGACTGAAGGGATGACCTTGGGAAGAGAAAGGACCATTAAAGCAAAACTAATTTCCTAGCTTCACGGAAATAAAATCTGGCAAAAAGAAGCAAACAGTTTATCAACCATAATTTTAGAGAGGGATAGGGACACCGAGTTAGATCTTTGAAGATAGGGCTTCATCGTTTCTCAGCCTTTTGGCTAAGATCAAGTGAAGATAATGCTTCAGATGGAGCAACGGTCCCATCAGGCAGTTACATAACCTACTGAATACTCCTTCTGCACAAGGGGTTTTTAACATGGGATCTGTGGACTGGATAGGAAAAAAATTACATCAGTGTTCTCATTAAGCACTAAATAAATTCATTCTTTCTCTCAATTATGAATGTATTCAACAAACTGTGATATAGTGTTAAAATTAACCATGATCTTATCCTTAGTAGAATCACAGATATTTTTGTATTGCACTAATTTGGATGTTGCAGATTTTCAAAATGTAATTTACACTCTTCTCTATTTTGAAGTTATAGCATAATCGAACCTACTTCTACATCTTGTTATTTAGTATACCTTCCCTATCCATGGTACGTGTTCCCTAGTTGCAGTTACCCGTGGTTAACTGCAGTCCAAAAATAGGTGAGTACAGTACAATAATATATTTGAGAGAGGGAGAGAGAGAGAGAGAGAAAGAGAGAGAGAGAGAGAGAGAAAGAGAGAGAGAGAGAGACAGAGAGCGAGCACACACAACTGCGTTCACACAACTTTTATTTCAGTATGTTGCTATAATTCTTCTACCTTGTTATTAGTTGTTAATCTCTTACTGTGCTTAAGTTATAAATTAAGCTTCATCATGGGTTTTTATGTATAGGAAAAACAGTATACATAGAGTTCAGTACTATCCATGGTTTCAGGCATCCACTGGGGTTCTTGGAATGTACGGCCTGTAAATAAGGGGGTTATATAATATTAGTATACTTTCCTAATACTAAGTATAATTATATACTTTCTAAATATAGTATGCCCCATGGATATCTGGTTTGCTTCCAGTTTTTGATTATTATGAATAAAGCTGCTATGAACATTTTTTACAGGTTTTTGTGTGAACTTTTCATTTCTGTGGGAAAAAAATGTCTTGGAGTGCAATCACTTGGTCATATGGTGATGTCATGTTTTGTTTTGTTTTTGTTGTAAACTACCAAATTGTTCTCCAAACTTTAGGACGTTTTTTATTCCCTCCATCATTGTGTGAGCAACCAGTTCCTCCGCATCCTCATCACCAATTTGGTGTTCTCATATTTTAAAAAGTAGTAATTCTCATGGCTATAAACTGATATTTCATTGTGATTTTAACCTGTATTTCCCTAAATATATTAAACATCTTTTCATGTGATTATTTTCCACCTGTATTGTATATCTTCTTCAGTGAAATGTTTGTTCCTGCCTTTTGACCATTCTCTAATAGGATTTTTTTTTTCTTTTACTTTTGAAATTTGGGAATTCCTTATGTGTTCTAGATAGTAGTCGTTTGTAGAATATGGGGATTTTTTTTTCTCCAAGTCTATAGCTTGTCCTTTCATCCTCTTGCTAGGGCCATTTGCAAAGATAACAAAATTAATTTAACTGAGGCGAAATTTGTCACTTTTTCCTCTTATGGATTGCGCTTTTGGTGTCAACTATAAAAATTATTTGCCTAGCCCTAGATTCCAAAGATTTTATATGTTTTGTTTCTTAAAAGGTTTATAGCTTTATATTTTATAATTAAGTTTGTGATTTTGAATTAATTTTCGCATAAGGTACAAGGTTTAGTTTGAGGTTTGTTTCATTTTGTTTTAATTTTTTGGATTATGAATGTCCAATTGCTCCATGATCCATTTATTGAAAAGTGTATTCTTCCTCAATTTGTAAAATTTTGTTAAATTCAGTTGAGCATATCTCTGGGCTATTTTTTTCTGTCTTACTGACCTATGTGTCTGTCCTTCTGCCAGTACCATACAGCTTTGATTACTATAGCTATCTAATGAGCCTAAAAACAGGTAGACTGACTCCTTCTATTTGTTTTTATTTTTCAAAATCGTTTTGGCTACTCTGTTTTTTTTTTTGTCTTCCTATGTAATGTTTAGAATAATATTGTCTATATCCACAGAAAAATCTTTCTGGGATTTCTATAGGAATTGCATTAAACCTGTCTACCAATTTGGGGAAAATCGACATATTCACTACGTGAAGTCTTCATATTCATGAACATTGTCTGTCTTTTTATTCAGATATTCTTAAGTTTCTTTCTTCAGAGTTTTGTGGTTTTGAGCATACAAATTCTGAACATGTTTGGTTTGATTTACAACTACATATTTAATTGTTTAGCAATTGTAAATGGTATTTTATTTTTGATTTTGGGGCCCAAGTACACATTACTAATACATAAAAATTTGATTTTTAAAATGCTGCATTGGAATGTATATTTTTTATAGACTTGAATATGTATTACATATTTTACAATTACAAAGTAGGATTTTTCTGGAGACAAAAAACTGTAGTCAAGAAAAAAGAAAGTTAAGCTTTGCTTGCATGCAATAATGTACAATAGGGGTGAGCTATGTTAAAAATTATCTCTGATGGATGCTATAATGGAATAACTTAAGGACTCAAAGCTGCTTTGCTTTCAAATCTAATTATCTGTTGCAAAGTGAACATGGCCTTTAAAACTAGTTATTTTCTATGCTTTTTTTGTTTTGTTTTAAAGAAATAGCTTTCTTATTTTAAAAACAATGTCAAAATTTGGGGAAGCCAAAAGCACAAAGTAGAAAATTTATATCACCCATAATCCTACTGCTTAAAAGTAACCACTATTAATTAACATGTAGATATTTAACCTCCTAGTCTTCGTTCTGTATTAACATAATGTTATTATAAAAATGAGATCATCCTGTGTTTATTGTTTGGTAACAACTTTACCAATAAAAAATAAAGGTAAGATTTTTACATCATTAAGTATTCTTCTATAACACGCAGACTATAAGCACTACAAAATATTTCATTTTGCCCTTAAGAAAAAATGCACTAAATTTGAAGACAGATGAAAACAATAAATTGGTTGTGTTTATTAATGTGCCTTATCATGTAACTTGTGACTTTTTCTTTCACTTATTAGTTTTAGAAGTTTTCTTACAGATTCCTTGCAATTTTCTACATACATAATCATACCATCTGCCAGTAGGGACAGTTTTATGTATTTTTTTTATTAATATGCCATTTATTTCCCTTTCTTGCTATTGTGCTGGCTAGAATTTCTAGTACTATATTGAGTAAGATTGGTAAGAGCAGACATCCTTGTCTTGCTCCCAACATTAGGGGAAAATCATTCAGTCTTTCAGCAGTAAGTGCAGTGTTAACTGTAGAGTTTTGCAGATGCTCTTTATCAAATTGAGGAAATTCACCCCTATTCCTCATTATCGAAGAATTGTTATGATGAATAAGTTTTGAATCTTGTCAAATGCTTTTTGTTACATCAATTAATATGATTATATGATTTTTTCTTGTTTAGCTTGTTATTACGGCAGATTACATTGACTGATTTTCAAATATGAAATCAGCCTTGTATTCCTAAACACTTAATCATGTTGTTTAAATCTTTTCATATATTGCAAAATTCTATTCCTAATATTTTTAAAGGCATTTTGCATCTATATTTGTAAGAGACATTTTCCTGTATTTTTCACTTTTGCACTGCTTTTGTTTGGCTTTGGTATATGGAAAACACTAACATAAAATAAATTGATATAACCTCTGTTCTCTCTGTTTTCTGGAAGAGATTTTGTAGAATTGATGTTGATTATCTATAAATATTTAGAAGTATGCTCTCATGAAATCATCTTGTCTTCAAGATTTATTTTGGGGAGTTTGATAATTGCAAATTCAAATTTAATAATTATAGTAGTATCACAATTTCTAATTCACATTGGGTGAGTTGTGGTAGTTTGTACTATTTGAGGAATTGGTTCATTTCATCCAAGCTGACAAATTTGTTAGTATACCCTTATCATCTTTTTGACTTCTGCAGCATCTGAAGTGATATCTTCTGTTTCATTTCCAACACTGTTAGTCTGTTCCTTCTGTTTTGGAGGGGCATGCAGTCATCAGTTTTGCTTGATGTTGGTCAAAGGACCAGTTTTTTGTTTCATTTTTCTCCTCATATTTATTTTTTCAGTATCATTGATTTCTGCTCTGATTTGTATTATTCCTTCTTCCTGCTGGCTTTAGTTTTATAATTTTTCTGGGTTTGCCAGGGAGGAGCTTAGATTATTGATTTAAAATTTTTCCCCTTTTCTAATGTAACCATTTAGGGTAATACATTTCCGTCTCAGCCCTACTGTAGATATGTCCCACAAGTTTTGGTATATTGGATTTTCATTTTAGTTCAGTTCAATGTACTTTTTCTAATTCCTCTTGAGACTTCCTCTTTGACCCATGGATTATTAAGAATGTGTTGTTTAGTTTCTAAGTGTTGGGATTTTTTTAATATTATCTTTCCATTATTGATCTCCAGTTTGATTCCACACTAGTCAGAGAAGACACTTTGTATAATTTTATTTTAATTTATAAGGTTTGTTTTGTGGCCTAGGATATGGTCTATCTTGATATGTATTTTATGGACACTTGAAAAGAATGTGTATTTTGATGTTATTAAGAGAAATGTTCTATAAATGTTGTTTAGATCCTGTCGGTTGATACTGGTTTAAGTTCCTCAATATTATTTGTGGTTTCCCACTACTTATATGGAATGTTGAAAGGGATATTTCAGTCTCCAACTCTAATTGTGGGTTGTCTATTTCTCCTTTCACATCCATCAAGTTGACTTCATCTATTTTGCAGTTCTTTTGTTAGGCGCATACACACACATTTAGACTTGCTATATCTTCTTGGTGAATTCACCTTTTTATCTTTATATAATGTTCCTCTCTATCTCTGTTAATTTTCTTTACTCTGAAGTCTACTTTATTTAATTCTAATACAGACATTTCTGCTTTCTTTTGATTAAAGTTTTTATATTTTATCTTTTTCCATCCTTTTACTTTTAGTTTGCTTATACCATTATAACTGAAGTGTATTTTTTTAGACGACCTACAGATAGTTCATGTTTTTAAATACATTCTGCCAATTTTTGTCTTTTAATTGATGTATTAAGCCATTTAATTTAATGTATTATTGAAATGTTGGGGATTAGGTATAGCGTTTTATTTTTTGTTTTCTGTTTGCTCTGTTCTTTCTTTCTTTCTTTTTTTCTTTCTTTCTTGTTTGTTTGAGATGAAGTCCCATTCTGTTGCCCAGGCTTGAGGGCAGTGGCAGGATGATCTCGGCTCACTGCAACCTCCCCCTCGTGGGTTCAAGTGATCCTCCCACCTCAGCCTCCCGAGTAGCTGGAATTACAGGCACACACTACCACACCTGGCTAATTTTTGTATTTTTAGAAGAGACGGGGTTTCACCATGTTGGCCAGGCTGGTCTCAAACTCCTGACCTCAAGTGATCTGCCTGCCTTGGCCTCCCAAAGTGCTGGGATTAAAGGCGTAAGCCACCGCGCCCAGTCTGCTCTGTTTTTTATTTCTATCTCTCCCTATCTCTTTACTTTCCTACGGGTTACTTGGATATTATTTACTTGGATATCATTTTTGTCTATAGTATTTTCAATTGCATGTCTTCATATATAATTTTTATTGGTAGTTCAATGTATTTACAATATAAACATAATTTGTCACAGTCTATCATTATCAACATTTTATTGTGAGTGAAGGGTAGCAACTTTACCTTCCTATATGTCCCTTTACCATTTATAATCCAGCTGCCTTAAATATTTCTCCTATTCATATTGAGAATCACATCAGCAAGTGTTAAAATATTGCATCAACCATCAAATATAATTCTGAAAACTCAAGAAGTGAAGGACAATGTATTACTTTCACACATATTTTTATGCTTTATTCCCTTTTCCCTCCTAATGTTCCAAAAGTCCTTCTTTTATAATTTCCTTTCTGTTTAGTGAGATTTCTTCAGCCATTATTTTAGGGTAGATCTACAGGTCACAAATTCACTTAGCTTTCCCTCCTCTGAGAATGGCATGATTTTCCCTTCATTCCTAAAGGATAGTTTTGCTGTATATTGAATTCTGGTTTGGGAGTTCTTTTAGCATTTGAAAAATGCATCACTTTCTTCTGGTGAGAAATCTACTATCATTCAATTTTCTTTTTCTTTATAGCTGAGGCACCATTTCTCTCTCACTGCTTTCAAGATAGTTTTTTTCCTTTAGTTTTCTGGAGTTTTACTGTGAAGTGCCTAGATATAAATTTCTCTGGGTATATCTCTTAGGGGTTTACATTAGCTTCTTTAATTTTTAGGTTTATTTCTTTTGCCAAATTTGGGAAATTATAGTCACTATTTCTTTGAAGACTTTTTCAGTCTTGCCCTTTATATCCTATTGTTTGCAAACCCCAATGTCATTAATATTAGATCTAGCCCCATAGGTTTCTCAGGCTCTGTGTTTTTTTTTGTTTTGTTTTTGTTTTTGTTTTTTTAAGTCATGTTCTCTCTTACTCAGATTGGGTAATTTTTATTGTTATATCATTGAGATCATTCACTATATTGTCCATTCCTTTCCATTCTGATGTTGAGCTTATTTGCTGAGTTGTATTTATTTTTGTTATTGTATCTTTCAGTTCTAAAATTTCTATTTTTTTTTTACTTTGATTTTAAGATCAAGGGTACAGGTGCAGGTTTGTTACATAGGTAAACTTGTGTCATGGGGTTTGTCGTACAAATTATTTCATCACCCAGGTATTAAGCCTAGTACTTATTAGTAATTTTTTCCTGATCCTCTCCCTCCTCCCACCCTTCACCCTCTGAAAGGCCCCAGTGTGTGTTCTTTCCCTCTATGTCCATGTGTTCTCATCATTCAGCTCCCACTTATAGGTAAAAACATGTAATATTTGGTTTTCTGTTCCTATGGCAGTTTGCTAAGGATAATGGCCTCCAGCTCCATTCATGTCCATGCAAAGGACATGATCTCATTCTTTTTTATGGCTGTGTAGTATTCCATGGTGCATATGTACCACATTTTCTTTATCCAGTCTATCATTGATGGGCATTTAGGTTGATTCCATGTCTTTGATATTGTGTTTTTTTATCATCTTTTTTTTTTTTTTTTTTTTTTTGCTAAAGGTTTGTAGCTCTTTGCTGAGCTTGCATTTTTTCATTTGTTTCAAATGTGTTAGTAATTGCTTACTGAAGCATTTTTATAATGGTTTTTAAAAAATTATGTCAAATAATTTAACATATCTGTCATCTCACTATTGATGATTATTGATTTTTTAAAAATTCCAGTTGAGATTTTTCTGGTTCTCTGTATAAAGATTGACTGGAACATATACATTTTGGGGTTTATGTTTGGAGACTTTGGCTCTTATTCAAACCTTCCATTTTAGTTGGCTTCTTCTGACAGTGCTTCAGCATGGAAGCAAGGAGGGGGCCTCATTACTGCCAGGTAAGGGTAAAAATCTAGTTTCTCTGCTGGGTCTCCATTGTCACTAAGAAAGGAATGGCTCTGTTATTGCTGGGCAGGGTTGGCTGTTCCAACTGATAATCCTATGTCTGGGAGGGCTAGGAGTGCCTCCTTGCTGTTCCTCTTGTTGTTTCCACTGACAGTGGAGTGGCCTTGTTACTGCTGGGTGGTGGTTGAGAGTTCTGGCTCTCTACTAGGGAGGACACAACCTCAGTGTAGAGAGGCGGGGATACCTTGTTACTGTCAGGCACAGGCGGAGGTCCAGTCTCC